>NC_000006.12:1575151-1726666 GCF_000001405.40 Homo sapiens
ACTGATTTTATCTTCACACAACCCCCCTCCACCCCCCAACAAGGGCAGAGTTCTGTTAAGGCCCTGGGCTTGCCCTGTGGTGTCAGGGCCATGACCACCCACCCACACAGGAGCCTGGAGCCTTCCCCCAGTGCCTGCCCTGGCCAGGCCTCCTCTGTAGGTGTGGGTAGGCCTGGGAACCCCGGCCCTGAACAGCCTCAGAGGGCTTCGGTGTTGGAGTGAGCTGGGACCATAAAACTCACAAGCTCCAAGTTCCCAGGCTCTTTGTCAGCCCACAGAGCCCTGTCACCTCACAGCTAATGCAGGCAGTGGCCAGCGATCCCCTGGGAGCGGTTTAAAAGCGCAAGTCTGGTTTTTAGAAAAAGCAGCTGAGGTTATAGTAAGCAGCTGACAGTTCCCCCACAGCTTCAAGCTGTAAGCAGCAAAGTGAAAGAGGGGAAGGAGCGTCCTGAGTGGCGTTCTCATAGGAGAGTCATGTCCACCTGGGAAGCAGGGAGATTTGGGCAATCATCCCACTCTTCCAGGAAGACAGCCAAAACCCCCACTGCCCCACAGCCTCCCCACGCCAGAAGCCAGCCCCACTCCAGCCTCAGCCCAGGCGTAACACTGACTCCCCCACGGGCCACAGAGGCTGTGGTCTCAGGGCTTCAGACTGCATTTGCTCCTGTTCACAAAGAAAAGGATTCCAGTAACACCAGAAGTTCTCTCTCCAAAACCGGCGGACCCGGAAGCCCTATTTTGAAACGTTTCTTCACACCCAGACCTCAGCCAAAGCAGGAAAGACGGCACTCAGTGGGGAATGAAAGGCTGGCCTTGTTCTGATGGGAAAGCAGCACTGTGGCTCCCCACAATCCGAAAATGCAGTTTTGATGATTAAAGTGCACATTTCAACAGGCTTTGTGACAGACACTCCTGGCGGCAAGGTCTGGGAAAAGGAGGCTGCCAGTAAACCCCCTGCTAGCCTTGTTTTCTCTGAACTTCTGGCCCCAGTGGGAAAGGAAATTAAAACTTCATTTTTAATTTTTAGTTATGACCCATTGTGCTGCAGGGTCATGGCCGGGGGTTTAGAACACCTAGCCTCGAAAAGGGTCTGAGACACTGTCTTTGAGGTCAGTTCACAAGCCCAGAAGCACCCGAGGCACAGCTGGCGGGGTCGGGGGGCGCAGAATGTTTGCATAGGACAGAGACCTCTGCAGAGATCCCATAAACATCCCTGAGACCGGGAATGCACTTACATTTGCAATTGACCTAATGGTGCCTACAGGACTTTCTCACTTGTTCTCACAACCCAGCTTGATGGACTTCGGCTCTCAAATTCTATCATGCTATTTTACTACGTATTTCTTAGAGGTCAGTTTATGAAATAACATGCAGAACAACTAGTCCTGGCAATAATGAAAGAGGAGGAGTTGGAAAAAGACACAGCCAGGGCCCACACTCCAGCATTGCTCAGTGGATAACCTAACTTAATGGGTACGTTAACTCCCAGGAAGTTAAGACAAAGCTCTTTAGGAAAGACCACCTAGTGTCTCTTCTTGACTTCACGGAGGAAGTCTAGAAAATACTAGTGACCATGGGAAAGCAAACAGACCCAAAATGGTCGTGTTTGGCCTTCAGGGAATTTTGTTGGTTCTTTGAAAAAGGTGAATTAGTCGCCACCATTGAAAGTCCCGGTTTCCTGCTCCTCTCCGTGGATTGGAAAATGAGGCTTCGTGAGGCCCACCGTCCCGTGTGGCATCATCTGTGGGGCTGACAGCACCTGCCCCCTAGGTCGGTTGTCCCACTCCCACTCAGCACAGCCGCCACGCCAGGCTGCTGGGAGTGTCTGAGCTTCAGAACCCTGTTCTGGAGTGAATGGAACATACTCGACACCCTTGGAGCCAAGCAACTGAGATGGACCATTTTCAATAGACTTCAGGGCCCTATCAGAAAATGCCATCAAATGATTCTGTTATGTGTAACAAATACATAGACAGAGAGCAAATGGAAAGGGCCCGGCCAGGGGGCCCCCAGCCTAGACAGCCTCCACACGCCCCCTCAGAGGTACCACTTCCCACCACTGCTTTGGCCTGAATACCCCCTCACTCAGCCACTCCTTCTGGCTGCGGCCCCTCCAGCTTCTGCTAGCAAATGTCCCATAGAGGGTCAAGGGACACTCCTCCTTCTCCCAGGACACTGGCTGCCCAGATCTCCCCCTGCCTGCAGCCGGGGACCTGAATTGGGAGAGGTGAGATATTAGCATCCCCTGGTCCATTTCAGGCTTCAGGAGCCCCGCAAGCTGCAGGCCAACTTTGGAAGACATTTGTGGTGTGGAGACAAAGCCGAGCCCCGGCTGGTCATCCCCACCCGTCGGGGCAGCTGTGCCTGCCAGCCCTGCCTGCCCCTGCCATGCCTGCCACACTCCTACCTGGCCCAGGCTGGAAGGCATCCAGGACAGATCAAAAGTCCCAAATGAGGATGAATATCTGAAAATGGGCACTGAAAGGGGGCGGAATACACGCACACTAAACTGCATGTAGCTGTCAAAGCATTTGGAAACAACAGCGGCCTCAAAGCTCAATGTTATATTTCCACACTGTGATCATTAAACGGTAAGAAACAACCGTCCCAAGAAGGACGAAGAGAACCTTGGATGCCATCTGTGTCAAGCTGTCCCTGGAAAGAAGGAACACTGAGTCCTGAGGGCAAAGGCGAGAATAAACACCGCGCACCCTCAGCCGGGGCCCCGTGTTCCTCCGTGATGTTCCACTTTTGGAAAGGAAGCTGGCACTTGGGTATGCAACAACCTGCCTTCAAACGCCAGTGGCGGGATTTGTTTTTACATTTACATTTTATTATTTTGTGTAGAAAATCCTGCTTTTGAACACCTCAAAAATGAAACTGCAAGGAAAAGCCAGTGAGACGCAGGAGGGGTGAGAGGGACTGCGCGGCAGCCGGCGCTCTCGGGGAGAAGGCCTGCCGCTCTGCTTTCTGCATTTCTTTGCTGGAATTTATTGCTCATCCAAGCACAACTGATAATTGAGTGGGTTACTCCACCAGCTCTCCAAAAACAATAATGCCACATGTCCAAAATTCCACGGTTGCAAGAACCTTGTATCCAACAAATTATAAAGAGTCCCTCTATGGTAACCATCTCATACCAAATAAATCCTCCTGTTGTCACAGACTGGCCACGGTTCTTTCCATTTCTTACGTGGGCTTTGAACAGACCATAAATTCATTGATGAATTAGTCAGATTTTGACCACAGTCCTTTCCACAGAGGCTAGGCTAGGTATGATGAATTCAAGCCTAGTGGCCACGCACAGGAAAAATCATACAAATTCCCTCCTCATAAATTGAGGATGAGGCATTGTGGGGAAACGCCCGGTGAGTTCTCGCTTATATCAGATTTATTGATCATTTATTAGCTGTTTGAACAAATGGTCCGGAAAACATCCTGCATGGGTTCTGGTCCAGTGCACCAGCAGCTAACCACGACTGTGGTCAGGTCACATGTGTCCCCTCTGATGCTCAGATGCCCCGGCTCTAAAATTAGTCCCTAATAGGCTTCTGGCCTGAAACTCCATGATCTTACCTTGTAATTTGCAAGAAAAAAATCAGGTAATATCTTGGAAGAAATGAGCAAGAAAGACCGAAGAGGAACTGATGATGGGAATAACATTGACCCTATCTCCCCTAACAGGAGGGAAAAGGGATCCCTCCAGATTCTGAAATCAGAGTTCATCCTTTCTGATTTCTAGAGAGATTCTGCAGCCTGAGTTTAGCACCCCAGTAGGCAAAGAGACCTGGGCTGAGATGCACCCCATTCCCCAGGCTGAAAAGAGACCACGGATGGGACTTTTCTTTACCTGGGAAGAACATACTCATCACCACATCAAAGCCCTCCAAAGGCAGAGAGGCCACATTTTTATTAGTTCATGTCTGCTCCAGTGGCAGATATAGAGAAACAGTGGGAAGATGATGGGGGAAAGCAAGGTTCCAGGAATGGTCTGGGTGTATCAGTGAACAGCAGAGTCATTATAAATACATAATGTAATGTAGTCACAGAAAGGAATTTTTTTTAAAGACATGATACACTGGGTGCATACAAAGAGGCAAACACTGCAGGCTTCGGTGAGAACAAGACGTCCTTTATTCTGCAGATCCCAACCTTAGCTCAGCCCCAAAAGAAGACCGCAGACAGTTTGGAGCACCCCAAGTTCAGAGGAACATTGAGACACTGGAAACCTTCCAGAAAGGAGCCACAAAGCTGAGTTGCAGGCTGCGAGGGCTGAGCAGTGGAGAGAGGGTCAACAGCATTAAACACTGAGTAAGTGCTGTGGCTGTAAGTCAACCGGGGCAAGAATGACCTACAAATAATCCCAGGGCCTCCCCGATGAAGAAGGTTTCCATTCTGCCCAGGATGGAGACCTGGGCAGCTGTAGACCACACCCAGGCTCAGGGCCAAGGAGCCCATGATATATTTATACACTTGCAGCTTCCAGGGCCCGTGGTTGCTGGCCTGCCTGTGCTACGAATAGCAAGGTCAACTGTCAGGGACATTGTCCTACAGGGGGTAACAAGCTCCAAAAGAAGCAGCCCCCAGGGACAGGGGAGTGAGCCCAGGTTAGTGTCAGGTGCGTTCCCCCCTCATTTCACCCCTCCTCACTTCCAGCCCTTCCCCCCTTTCCTGTGCGCTCCTTCCTCCCCCCTACTCCTTGCAAGGACCCTTCTGTTACACCAGCTTCCCTAGTCCAGGAGGACAATGAGATGATGAAGAGGTTTCCCTGAAGGTGCGAGTAGCTCTGAAAATTCACCTCCGAGAGGGAAGCACCTGTGCAGATAGTGAAGCCAGTGGACTTGGTGGCTGGGGACGGTCCTGGGCCACTGTCCTCCCCTGTGTGAGCTCCTCGCTTAGCCTGGAGCCACCGCAGCATCAGGGGCAGAGACCAAGGTCTGCTATCTTCCGGAACGAGCCGTCTATCCTCCCCTTCCCACAACCATCCCAAGCCTATCTTTCCCTGAAACACACAACCGCTTGCTCTAAATTTTTAAAAAAAGATACACAAAGATGTGAGAGAGTTACCTGCTGTTTTCCAGCTTTGAAATCAATGGTCTGAGAGAAAGCAGCTTTCTGGTCCACTAACAGGATTGTTACTTGGAGCAGCTTAGGGATGGATTACTCATGCCCCAGCTGGGGAACACTCTCATGAGTCTACTTTAAAAAAAATATTACTACTGCATTGGCTAAAAACAACCAAGGTCCAATTTTATATGAAGTGATAAAATCAGCGTAGAGAAAAATCCATGAGCCAGCAAACCTGGACGAGAGGTCGTGGATGACTTACCTGGGAGCCCAGCTTGCAGGGTGGCCGGAAAGCACCCCATGCTTTGCTGGTGGAACTGGGGGCCACAAAGGGAGGGGAAAGCCAGAACTCTGGGATCAGAATCTTCAGAACCTGTGTCTACTCTTCTGCCTTAGAAAGAAGCCTTTAGAAGCAAAAGAATTATCTTATAATTCAGGCTTGGTCAGGGGCACAGGTCCATCCCGCGGTGGTCTCCCACCATGGAAAGGCACAGGATGGGACGTCGGCTGACCCGAGCCATGAGTGGGCTGAGGAGGGGAAAGCAGTGCAGCCGGCTTGGGGGCAAGCTGGGGCATGTGAGTGTGTGTTTCGCAACATTTCCAGCTACCTCGGTTCCCCCTGGCATCCTCCTGCCTTCCTGCAGCCCCTGGCCCTCCTTCTTCTACCTGAGCCTTTGTCTTGCAGGCTCTGGGATGGTGGGGATCCTCTACACCAGGGTCTCCTGCTCGTCCTTGTACTAAAGCAGCAGCTGGGCATTGTCAGAATGGCTGAAGGAGGGACTCAGAGAGGCTGCAGGAGGGAGTCAGGCCTGGGGCGGGTGAGGGCTACTGTCCTATGAGACCAGGAGAGCAGATGAAGGACTCCTGAGCCCAGAGAGGACTTGGCCTGCCCAGAGTTACCCAAGATGCCTGGGGAGGTGAGGCTTGGAGAGCTCATGGAGTGAGTCCCAAAGACCCCAGCAGAGACAGTGGGCAGAAAGACTCCCGGGCCCTCTCTGTGGGGCTGATTCACCCACGCGACAGCCACAGGGTGGGGAGGGGCTGGCCACAGCGGAGGGGTGCACTGACCTGAGAGCCCAGTGCTGGGAGGCTGGCTCCGGGCACGTCACCGCCCCCGTCATGTGCTCTCCTTGTGCCGCCGTCCCAGCAGCGCCCCATCTCACCAACTCCCACCTTCATGTGTGGCCGCCCACCTAGAGCCATGCCTGAAGCCACTGTCCCTGACCACAAAGCTTTTGGCTGATAGGAAGCATGACAGCACTGGGGCCCTACACTGGAAGCGGGACCGTCCAGAGAAGAAGACTGCGCACAGGGATCGGGAGCTGGGACACACGTTAGTCAAGGTGTACGAGGGAGGAATCACCGCCATGTGGAGCCACTACTCGGGGAGGACGTGGGCCACCCGGAGCTCAGTGACAGTACTCCCGGGAGTGTACATCGTTGGTAATGTCCACGACAGTGTCCCTGCCTGTGACCCAATAATTTCCCATCCAGGGACACACTTCACAGAAATGCACGCACAGGCACAACAGCATCGAATGGGAGAGCTGCACAGAGCCTCTTCATAGCATCCCCAAACTGGAAGCAACCCAAACACCTAGCGGACACAAATGAGTAGAAAATGAACAAAGGAGCATTATAAGCAATGAAAACAGTGAACCAGAGAGACGCACATGAGACAGGCTCCATCTCACAAGCCTGAGGTTTAGGAAGAGAAGCAACCAAGACCCCACGTTGGCCAGGCACGGTGGCTCATGCCTGTAATCCCAATACTTTGGGACGCCAAGGCAGGTGGATCACCTGAGGTCAGGAGTTCGAGACCAGTCTGACCAATGTGGTGAAACCCCATCTCTACTAAATACAAACAAATTAGCCAGGTGTGGTAGCACATGTCTGTAATTTCAGCTACTTGGGAGACTGAGGCAGGACAATCGTTTGAATCCGGGAGGCGGAGGTTGCAGTGAGCTGAGATTGCACCACTGCGCTCCAGCCTGGGCAATACGAGCGAAACTCCATCTAAAAAAAAAAAAAAAAAGCCCAGGCAATATGACGCCACTTCCAGAAAACTCTAAGACAGGCACAAGAAAGACCACTACCCTGTATGGTTTAGGGGTTACATCTAGGCGGCAAAGCAAACATCTACAGAGAAGGGAGACAAAGATGCGACTGGGAATGGCCCATGGCAGCTGCCTTCCTGGGGCGGGACACAGTTCTGGGGGGGTTCATAAGGTCTCATTTCCCATATCTCGGGTGGTTTCACTCAGCCATTCATACACAGGAAAAACATAACAAGAAATGTGTAGACCTTTAGGATGAAACTTCAAAATGCTCCTGAAGAACACAGGGTACAGCTGTGTGGATGGAAGGACAGACCTTACTCATCTCTTGTTAGGAAGACTCAGCATTAAAGGGCATCAATGGCCAGGCACAGTGGCTCACACCTGTAATCCCAGCACTCCGGGAGGCCGAGGCAGGTGGATCACCTGAGGTCAGGAGTTTGAGACTAGCCTGGCCAACATGGTAAAACCCTGTGTCTACTAAAAAATACAAAAATTAGCCAGGCCTGGTGGTGGGCACCTGTAATCCCAGCTACTTGGGAGGCTGAGGCAGGAGAATCGCTTGAACTCGGGAGGCAGAGGTTGCAGTGAGCCAAGATTGCACCACTGCACTCCAGCCTGGGGGACGGAGCAAGACTCCATCTCAAAAAAAAAAAAAAAAAAAGGCATCAATTATCTCTAAGGTCACTTATATATGAACATCATCTCCATTTTTAAAAGAGGATTTTTCTGGAACTAGACATGTAGTTTTAAAGTTAATATGGAGAAAAAAAGGAAGAAGCAAGACAATTCTGAAAAGAAAGAAAAATGAAGAAGGACCAGCCCTCAGAGGTATTAAAACATATTCTAAAGGTGTTAATTAAATAATTAAAACTGAAAGGCAGACCTGTGGAAAAGAGTCAAAAACTCAGAAGGAGGGTCAAATGAATATGTGAAACCAATATATGATCAAGACTACATCTTAGCTTGGTGGCAGTAAAGATGGACTTTTAAATAAAGGAGGCCGGTGCCATCAGGCAGCCATCTGGAAAAAGGTAAAGTGGACCCGCCCTTCCCAGAATGTGCCGGAGTAACTCCAAATGTATCACAGATCTAAACATTAGAAAGTAGAAGCACAAAAAGTAGCAGAAAAATTCAAGGTCAGATATCTACCTTTAAAGCCTTGAAGAGGGAGGTCTTTTTAACTGTAACGCAAAACTTCAGTAGCCATTTAAAAAAAGATTGAGAGATATTGGCTAATCTAAACATAAAAATCAAAAACTTCTATGTGGAAAACACCATAGATAGTATGGATGTGAGATGATATTAAGGAATTATTGTAAATTCTCTTGGATGTGATAATGGTATGATGAGTGTATAATAAAACGTCCTTATTTTTAGAAGGTACACACAGAAGTCCTTGGTGTCTAGAAGCACACAAACACACACACACATGCCCACACATGAGCACACACACGTGCGCACACACAGAGATAAGGCAGAAGCGGTACCCGATGTCAATTCAAATTGTTGAATTTAGAGGGTGGACATACAGCTGACCATTGTACTATTCTTTCCATTATTTATTTATGCATAAGAGAAAACTGAAAAATACACCATCAACGAAGTCAAAAGGCAAATGACAAACTGGGGAAAAAATGTTTGTAACTCATATCATAGACAAGGGTTAATCTTCCTAATACATAAAGAACTTCTATAAATCAGGAAGAAAAAGTCCAATAACCCAATAGGAAGGTGGACAAATGAATAAATAGTTCACAGGAAAAGAAATAGAATGTATGAAAAGAACTCAAAGGAAATTCTAATTCAACTACATTGAGATAACATTTCTCACTTATCAGACTGGCAAAATCCAAAAACTGGTCAGCATGTTCGGTTGGTAAGGCTGTGAGGAAACAGTCCATCTCCTTGTGGCTGGTAGGAGGGCAGGGAGGTAAGACACTGGTGAAGAGGGATTTTCTGTTTATCAGAGCTGTCAGTGCGTGGCCCCATGACCTAGCAATCTGACTTTGGAGATTGACCCTGTGGATGCTCCCACTTCCATACTTAATGACATATGGCCAAGGCGCTCTGTTGAATCCGTGTTTGTTATGGTCAAGGCTGGCAACAGCACAAGTATCCATCTATAGGGGCCGTGTTAAATCAACTGAGGCCTCTCCACCCCATAGAATACCAGGCAATTCTAAAAGGGGAGGCCCTGTGTACAAAGGGGAGACCAACAGGATGCCATATTAAGTGAAAAAAAGCAAGGTTGTATTGGTCATGAAAGAATGAAAAATAAGAATTTTCAAAATTATGAATATATTTCCATAAGGGATGGACGTACTCCCACCTGCCCTCCCACAAAACTAATCGAAGTTATATTTGCTTAGTAGTTATATTTGGCGGTGGGATTTGGACCTGAATGGGAGAAAGGCTTCTCAATGCCTATCTTCTTAGGTCTTTTTTCTATTTAAATCATGCTCATGGTTTGCTATTCGAACAATAAAATTTGATTTAAAATAAAAACAGAGAACTGTCAGAAAAACTCAAGGCTTTCTTTTGATTTTTGAAAAAAGTTTCTTAAATGTTGGTAATACTTATTTTGAAGGGTATTCTATGAGTTGTCAGGTCAAAACCTTTACTCTCAACATTTTCCATAACCTTGGTTGTCTCTTAAATTGCGCAAAATAAAGAGCCAATGTTTCAGCGGGTGAGTTTAGTGCTTATAGGGAGCTCACTGTACCAATTCAGAGCATGAAAACCCTCTCTTCGGTGGCAAGGAACAGGGGCTTTCCTCTGCGTGTCCCACTGGCCCTCCCACATGGCTTTGCTTGTGGAGACATTGCCCGGCTTCCCCCAGGGGCCCCTGGAACTCTGTCTCGGTAAGCTCATACAATCACCTTTCCAGATAATTCATAAACAAATACGGAGGTGAGAAGATCAACAGCACAAGAGTGTTGGCTGTCATTCAACAGAGAGGGAATTAGAATTGCTCCACTGGGTCTTGTCCAAAAAACCAACTCTAAGCACCTCTCCTCCCCTCTGAGCCACCCCAGTGCCCGAAGGCCACATGTACGGACTCCATTTGTTCTAGTTCTTTTCATAAGAGAGAAGAACCGAGTGTTTCACATGCCTGTAACACGGGCAGGAAATGCTAGGATCCATGTGAAACCCACCACCCTCCCCCAGAAGCTCCTGGCTTTAGCATGGAATACTCTGCAGAACGTAGCTGCCGTGAAGATGATGGCCCTGAACTGCCACACTCCCCAGCGAGGTGACAGGCTAGGGACTGAGGCTCGGGCAATCCCGCCAAGTATCCCCCCACTCTCCCCACATTCTGACACCCTACTGGGGGCTTTCATGCAGGTGAAATCTGGTTAAAAGAAACAGTTGGGAAGAGACTAAAACACTCACCAGAAAGCCCCTGCAGCCAGGAGGAAAGTGTCTGTAGAAGGAGGTGGTGCATTTCCTTGGCCACCGTGGGTTCCCCGACTAGCTCAAGGAGAAAGGGTCTTTCATGGATGCAGCAGCAAAGGTAACTCTGCCGACCCGGCAGGGGACCATGGCTACTGCTCAGCGCCCACAGGGCAGGGCCTCTCGTGCAGCCGATTGAGCCATTCTCTGCATCCTCAGTCCCCACCCGGAGGACAGGTCGGGCACTGGCTCCCTGGAGGGTCGGCACAGCCTCTGAATTCCCGATGAACACCCGGTTGTTCCAGCCAGGTTCTCCCTGGAACAAGCCAAGCCAACCTCAGCATTTTATTTTCTTCTTCAATTCATCCTCTTAAATTCTTTGCCCTTTTCCATTCTGTGACTTTTGCCTTTTTCTGTTTTCCTTTTGCAGAATAAAAGAACAAGGCAATATAATTTTTCAATATGGAAAATTAGAGAATTCAGTTTTTTCCCAAATCAGGTCATGTTAGTGTCCAGTTATTTTTCAGAGCCCTTGTGAAGAGAGTTTCGGGTTGTAAAAAGGTCTGTTAAGTAAAAAACTATTAGTTATGATTGTTGCTCTCCCAGAACCATACCTCTGACGGACTAGAAGTCACTTCATTCATCAAGCCAGCACTTTTCCCTCCAGACAGCTGGAGCTAGTAATTGCTACTGACTATAGCTCTTGACAAGTGGCATCCACTCAACTGAGTATGGAAGGCATGGAGGAAACGGAGGACGACACAGAGGCAGGCTGGTGCTCACCTCCATAGCCGGGGTGTAGCCACAGTGCCTTCCTCCTTCCTCTTGTTTTCAAGGGTTACTATTTCCTACCAATATAAAAATGTAGGTCCGGGGGGTTGCCCCTCTCCCCCTCTTATGTGGTAACAGGCATTGAGTGAATGTGCCCAGGACTCAGCGTTCACTGCTGTTCCCATTCAAGTTCACGCTCCTGCTTTTTTTTTTTTTTTCTTTTTTTTTTTTAGAGACAGGGTCTCACTGTGTGGTCCAGGCTGGAGTGAAGTGGTGTGATCTCAGCTCACTGCAGCCTCCAATTCCCAAGCTCAAGCCATCCTCCCACCTCAGCCTCCCAAGTAGCTGGGACTACAGGTGTGCACCATCACACCTGGCTAATTTTTTTTCTAATTTTGTGTAGAGACGGGTCTCCCTTTGTTGCTCAGGCTGGTCTCTAACACCTGTCCTCAAACGATCTTGCCTCGGCCCTGCAAAGTGCTGGGATTGCAGGTGTGAGCCACCGCACCCAGGCCACACTCCTGCTTTTGAAGCAGCAGGCAAATGAGTGCATTTGTTTGTTGCTGAGAAAGAATGGAGGGCATGATCTGATGAGTCTGTCTGCTCCTCCAGCCTCCCTTTCCCACAGGACCAGGTGCGAGAGCCTGCAGTGCCCCCAAGGGAAAAATGACCCTGTGGTTCAGGTTTGCATGGTCTAGACCAAGAGTGTAGGCCCTGCATGTGTGTGTGTGTGTTCATGTGTGGTGTGTGCGTCTGTGTGTGTGGTATAGTGAATGTACTGGGTGTATGAGAGTGTGCATGAGGGTGTGTGTTGGGTGTGTGTGCATATGAGTATGTGGTGTGTGAGAGTATGGGTGTATGTGAGTGTGCATGTGTGTAAGTTGTGTGCAAGTGTATTGGGTGTGTGTCTGCTTATGTGTGTGGGTTGGGTGTGCATGTGTGTATTCAAGTATTGGTGTGTGTGTGTATGTGTGAGAGAGAGAGATCTTCTGGGTGACTGGGCTAAGTGCTGAATTACCAGAGAACCGACGCCAACAAATTCAAATGAAGAATTTCTTTTTTCATTGATTCAAGAAAGGCTTAATAGCTCTGGCAGAAACTCTCCAGAAAAATTTACCTTTGGGCAGTCATGGCCCAGCACCAGACAAGAAAGCTTTCAGCCTCAAAGAATTTGGCAGAAAGTTATGAACAAGTGAATAAAGGAGCTGGAAATGAGACTCCATAGATCACTGCCACGAACCTGTTTGCTCCTGTTAACACCAGGCAGCGCCGGTTCTAGTCTTGACTCCGGCACAATTCCCCAGGCAGTGAGACTTGGCTCACCTGGCTTGGCAGCTGCAGCGTTACAACCCATGAAGGCTTTTGTGCGCTTATGTTAAGTGACCTTTATGGAAATATCATGTGCTGTCGACATCACAGGAAAACCCATATACTTATCCTAAAGCCATCTCCATGCAGAACCTTGCCTGCTCAGAATCAATCCCATGGTAACCCTTCCTGCAAAATATAGACCCACATCTAAGAGCAAGTTGTCCTGAGTTCATGGTAAGCGTTTGTAATGTTCCCGAACTTCCGCCAATCCACAATGTGGAAATTCACGTGAAAGTAAGGACATTTTCCAAAGAATATGTGGCCCCAAACTATCTGTGCCTGAATTATCAAGATAATGCGTGCTAATACCCGGCACTGCCTTGATTTATCTGATGACTCGACTCAAGTCTCCACGTCAGTCACACGTCATTAGTTCTCCAAATGAGCAAAATAAACAAGTCTAAAAGTTAAAAGTATGAAAGTGACTGTCTATCTACTCTATTTTGCCGAGTAGTTAATTGTTATTTCTTACTTGAGTCATCATCATCGATTTTTGTTTGTTGGTTGGTTTTTTTGTTTTTTGAAACGAGGTCTTGCTCTGTTGCCTAGGCTGCAATGCAGTGGCACAATCCCGGCTCACTGCGACCTCTGCCTCCTGGGTTCAAGCAATTCTCCTGCCTCAGCCTCCTGAGTAGCCAGGATTACAGGCGTACACCACAACACCTGGTTAACTTTTGTATTTTTAGTACAGACGGTGTTTCACCATGTTGGCCAATCTGGTCTGGAACCCCTGATCTCAAGTGATCTGCCTGCCTGGGCCTCCCAAAGTGCTGGGATTATAGGCGTGAGCCACCACGCCCAGCCCATCATTCATTGTTAACAAACATTTATCAAGTGTGTGTTCTGGGCCAGGTACTGAGAAGACAAAGATGAATAAGAAACAGATGTTGCCCGGCATTATAATTACAATGGGCAGTGAAGGCTATTTTCCTTCACTCTTACCACAAGGCCAATGCTGTACAAGGTGCTTTGCAATTTCATTTATTCCCCAACAATTATAGTCAATTCCATTCAAAAAATCTTTGTATGAAACATTGCCAGCAATATGAGAGTGATTGTTCAGAGCAAACCTTCAGTCTTCAAGCAGTGTTTGGTACAGAGTGGGTATTTGATAAACGGCAGCTGTAATTGTTACTGTTTACTTCTTTCAATTGGGACAGAAATTACATCTCACGGGCTGTCTCCTAGTACTCAGCACAGTGACTGGCACATAAGAGGCCTTTAACTACAATGCCATCATGTTTTCTCATGGACAGAGATGACTGATATGAAGTCTCAAATTGCGCAAAGTAAAAGAGGCACATTGAGAATTCATGACTCCCTTGATTGATTGGTTGATTGATTGACTCCCCTTCCAAAAGCCCATTTTAGAGCAATCTTTTAAACATACTATTATGATCTGGTGGCTGGGCATGTGACACTGTCCACACAAGACATATGAACAGGGAAGGAAAAGCCACAGCATTTCAACAATAGTCATTACAAGACTGGGATTGGCCGGCAGTGAACTTCGGCCAAGGCACTCCTGAAATCTTTGTGTTTGGTAACTGAGGTGGAGATGATTATCAACGCACCCAGAAAAGCAAGATCAAAGGGAAGTCACTACGAGTTTCTTTCTTCTCTTGGCAACTCCAGGTCTCATTCACCTGTGCACTGCCCACACCAGGCAGCGTCTGCTCCTCATCATGGTTAATAAATGCTTCTTACACAATCAGGCATGAGAGAGGAGCGTGTCCATTTCAGTGCCTGAAAACCAGGCAATGATCCCCTAATACCTACTTAAAGAGAAAAGAGAGCAACCATCACTTCACTTACGCAAGACAACGGGAGGGAATCTTTCATTTCATTGTGGCCGCCACCCTGCCTGCCCTCTATCCATGAGGGAAACAACACCAGAAACCAAGCACTGGGGCAGCACCTCAGCCTCGGACACTCCCTGTGTATTCTGTGCACCATCCATCCAGTCCTTATCGGGGTGTTTCCCAAAATAAGCCTAGAGAACACAAATCCAGGAGATCATCCCATGGTCAACTCTGTGAGACGCCTTCCATACCTTGTGATTTCAAAAGGTACATTAGCTGCTGAAGGCTCTGGAAAGGTCTGCAGCAGGAAACAATTCAACGTCGCTCATAATTCCCAAGTTTATACAATTGCATAACCCGTGTTGCTGGTTCTCTACGGCACTCAGCTTAGGGAATGGTGCCCTACGGGGGCAGCGTCATAATCTCACTTAGGAAAAAGTTGATAAACCTCCCTTTTCATGAAAATGTGAAAAGGCCACATGAAAGAGATCCTTTACGTGAAATATTTTTCCCTAATATAGCCCAAGAGGGCAAAAACGCCATCCCTAAGTGAAATTATCCTCTCCCCCAATTTGTTGAACATGCTCATATTCCTAGTTCAACGATGATGAAATGCTGGTCTTTAGGACATCCCAGAACTCTGTTATTGTTGGCAGGTAAATGAGGCTTAACACCAGGTCCTTCTGCACACCCAGGGATGCAGAAGGTGTTTGGTGGGTGATTTCCTTGATGGATGTAGAAAGACAACCTGGAGAGACAAGCTTGAAAGACTTCAAGGGGCAAGAAAAGTAAAGAGTTATTTCCCAAGTCATGTCTTCACCAACAAAACACTGTATAAATGCAATTAATTTTTTTAATGGTTTGACATTAGATAAGACCCAAAACTCACTTCCTAGGAGTTAACCATTATCCACAATCAACAGATCTTAAAAATGCACATTGGCTGCATCAATATATGATCAGCCCTCATGACCCACAGATTCCATATATGTAAATTGTTCTCCTAACTAAAACTTATTCGTAACTCCCAAATCAACCCTGGTGCTGCTTTCCCAGTTATTCGTGGACATGTGCTGAGCGGCAAAACGTTGGAGTTTCCTGATGTGCATGATCCTGGCTGACCATGCCACGCTCCAGCTCATGTGGTAAACACGCACCCTGTCCACAGCTGATTGAGTGCCCCATTTTCACGCTTGTGTTGGTGGTTTCAAGTCCAGGGTAGCCCCAAACACAGTGCTGAGCTATGTAGTGTTTCTGAGCACAGAAGGCGAGAAGCCAGGTGTGTCGGTGAAACTCCATTCAGGCACAAGTGCTGGTGGTGTCACTCTGAGTTTAATGTTCATGAATCAAAATCATATATTAAATATAGTGACCTTAAACAAGAACACACATAAAACAAAGTGTAGGTCAGGCATGGTGGCTCACGCCTATAATCCCAGCATTTTGGGAGGTCGAGGCAGGAGGATTGCATGAGCCCAGGAGTTTGAGACCAGCCTAGGCAATATAGTGAGCCATCATCTCTATGAAAAAAATTTTTTTTTTATTAGCCAGGCATGGTGGTGTGTGCCTGTAGTCCCAGCTACTCGGGAGGCTGAGGTGGGAGGATCACCTGAGCTTGGGAGACAGAGGCTGTAGTGAGCCATGATAGTGCCACTGCACTACAATCTGGGCAGCATAGTGAGTCCCTGTCTCAAGAAAAACAACAACAGAAAAAAAACTAACAAACAAAAACAAAGTGTAGTGGTCAGTGGACAAAAATGTGACCAGAGGCTTGCAGGAACCCAACCCTGTGCTTCTCCTAGGAGCAATGGCTCATGATGTGCTGAGTCAGTGTTCGTGGTGACTTTGCAGAACGTAACTACCGCGATCATGAGAATCAGGTGTTGTATTTGGATAGCAATGAACAAAGTTTCTGTCAAGAAAATGTCTTACAGAAGTTGAACAGGATGGTTTCAAGAAAGTGAACAGACTATGGGTGAGCCTGGGTGCTGTGAGATGCCAAACCTGGGGAAGAAAACAGAAGCCGTCATCCGGCTGCCAGGCATTCTTCCTCGGGCCCTTTCTGATAGGGCATGCAGGTAAATGTGCTATTTGCACTCAATCTGCAGCCAGTCTGTCAACCCTGTGTGTGACGCTGTCTTCTTTCTAATTCTTTCTCATTCTACCCTCAGCAGTTTTTTTTTTCAATTCCTAACAGAAACAACCAAATGATGCCCCAGATGCAAAACAGTATTCCCAGCAGGGTGGCTGCCATGCTAAAATATTGTTCTTTTCTCGGCTAATTTGTGGTCAAGATCTACTACATTCGAAACATCATGACAATAAAGTACGGCTGTAATCGCAAGCAGCTTTAGGAAGGTCTGCAGGCATCAGCAGACATTTTTCACACAGCAGTCTCCCCCTTTTCTCTAAAGAATTTTGGAGATCATTTCTGAATGAGGCCAGGCTCACCTAACAGTGGCTGCATCACCTGCAGCTGCGCCAGGCCAGGCCATGCAGCTTCCACTGACTTCAAGGAGAACTGGGCAACATGGCAGAGGGTCGAGTCCACACAGACAAAGCTCCTGGCAACATCAGTCATCACAGCTCAGCCATCATGGAACTCCACAAACACCAGCGTGGCCCACATTCAATTCTGGAGGACAAAAAGCTCAACATCTACAGTCCTACTTCCTTCCGGTATACTCTACCTACCCCTCTCCACACACACACACACACACACACACACACACACACACACACACACACACAGACAAAACATCCTCAGCAACATGGATCTTGCTTAATCTTTAATAAAATACAAGCTTCTTCCCATGCAGCCATAGAAAAGAATGAAATCATGTCCTCTGCAGCAACATGGATGGAGCTGGGGGCCATTACCCTAAGAAGCAGAAAATCAAATATCTTATGTTCTCACTTATGAATGGGAGCTAAACAATGGGCACACGTGGACATAAAGATGGAAATAATAGACATGGGAGACTCCAAAAGCGGAGAGGATGAGAGGAGGGGGAGGGGCAAAAATACCTATTGGGTACCATGTTCAATATTTGGGTGTTGGGTACATTGGAAGCCCAGTTCCCACCATGACACAACAGACCCATGTAACAAACATGCATGTGTACCCCGGAATTTAAAATAATTTTTAAATGTTTAACCCTAATATAATTGTGAGGAAATAATTTAACAAATCCAGATGGTGGCACATTCTACTAGACAGCTGATCTGGACTCTTCAAAAATATCAATAACATGAAAGACCACAAAAAGCAGGGGCTCATTCTAATCGATTTAAACAAAACTTAAATAACATGACAACTGAAAAAAGCATATGCATGCCCCTAGACTCAGCCCATGAGCAGAAGGTTGCAGCCAGGTAAGTCTGATTTTGAGGTATATTCAGTGGAAAAGACACTACAAGGAAAGCGCTTTCTGATCATCCCCCGCCCCCAGGTGCGGCATGCACAGTGCGTGATGTGATGATTCTGCGGCTAGAAAGGGGTACATTCATGGACTGAAAGAGCACATTTTTCCTTTGAACTAAGGAAAAGATCCTTGGGTGATGTTGAAGGCTGTGCGGAGTGTTTGTGAGGAGTGAGGCAATTCCCAGGGATTTTTCTTCTACAAACACACAACGGGGGTGAGAAAATCAGACACAAAGTCAGGCTTCATGAGGCTAAGGAAGAACTTTTCCTCCTTTAGCGAATTTTCTGGAAGCCCTGCCGAGGCTACCCCCACCCCATGAACGCATCCAATGCTTTTGGGAACCTGTGCTAATCTGTCGGGTTTCTGCATATCTCTTTGCCCAACCAAAGGGACCCCAGACCCTGCCACCTTTGTCCGGAAGAGCTGGCCTCGGAGGGACAGAGACTCTGAGCCTGCGTCCCAGGAAGAAAGTCACAGGTAGGAGCTTCGGGCCCCCTCGCTCTCCCCAGCAGCACCACCCACTGGCAAAGGACCCAGGTCTCTTTCTCCAAGGGACAGGGGGGTCGGGAAAAAGAAAAGACAAGACTCTCCTGTGGGAAAGAAACACATGTGAGGGTGCTGGAGGGTTTCCTTCCTTCTTCTGGAGTTTTAACAAAAATAGACTCTGGGATGAGGTTGTAGGACAAGGAAGTGCTCCCTTGCTTGACTGGTGTTCTTTCTGCCCTCACTGGAATCTGCTTGGCAGCCGAGGGCGGTGACGTTCCTGTAGCTTCCGTGGGGAATTCAGGTGCGTGTGTGTGCGCGTGTGTGTGCGTGTGTGTGATAAGCTGTTTTCATTTTACCATCCTAAAAAAAGAAAAAGTCAGACGAAGGCACAGAAAACGGCTGAGGAATTCCTGGCAAGGGCAGACTCACCCACTTACTAGCTTTCCGCTTAGCTTGCCACCGGGACACTTCGATAGTCCAGGAGACAAATCTGCTTCCTCTCTGGGGCTCTCCCGGTTGAGAGGTCGGCGGAGTTAGCCGTCATCTTTCCCTGTAGGTTCTGAGTCTATCAAGGTGCAGCCCAAATGCAGAGGAAGCTCCCGCACCCAGGGTTTCCCCTGGCGAGTGACCGAGCCCCTCTGACCAAACGCGCGCTCAGGCGCCTTATGGATCACACGGTTCCAATGGCCCGGGAGACAAGCAAACGTGCCAAGCGTGGGCTTCGATAGAATACTCGCCTCACCACCGTGGCACGGAGAGAAAGCCCTGATTTCTCTTTCATTCCTAAAGGGCTAGAATTCTGTCGTCTAAAACCTGCCTCATGGAAGCCCGTGGAAAAAACTGCCTGCGGAAGAGACGAGGTTGTGAGCGCTTATAGCACAGATGGAGCAGAGTGACCACAGCTGAGGGAAAACAATGAACTTTATGTTCTTCCAGAACAAATTACACACTCCCCCCAGCCCATAAAGGCTTTTTATGTAACTGCAGTCAGGCAATACCTGGGCAGGGAGCGACTGCGGGGGATCCCACATCCCTGCGCGGCTCTTGCCTCGGGCAGCCCCACCACGCCCCTCCCAGCACCCAGGGTGTCTCGGCCCTGCCCAGCCGGGACCCACCTCGCAGGCCCTTTTTCCCACCGGGATTCAGGCGTTTCATGCTGACTTGGGCCCTCGGGGGCCACGGGCCAAGGGAGGAGGGAGGGGCAGGCACCTCGCCATGGAAGCTGGTCTCTGGAGGAGCCCCCAGCCTGGCAGGGCGCTGGGTGAGACAGGTGGCTGGCCACCAGCCGTGGTGGCGAGGAACAGCGTGGGCTGCAGCGCCCTCACCATAACCGATGGCGACAACTGAGGCAGGCCCAGGACTTAGAAATTAGCATTCAAAATGTACAGCCTAAACACCCTGCACCAAAAGCCCAGCCTGCTCTCTAGGCGTTCCATCAGCCGTCCATGCTGAAATGTCCTTCAACCTCACCGCCCCCTGCAAGCCCTCCCGCTCTCCAGCCGTGCGCAGGCAGGCCACGGTCCCCCCCACCTGTGTCTCGTGTGACAACAAAGCAGAGGAGGAAAGGGAGGGGCTGAGCTTGTCACGGGGGGGTGGGGGCCTGCGACACAATAGCGCGCAGTCCTAGCTGCTTTATTGAGGATACTGTGTTGAATAAACCAATGACTAAGAGAGACGAAGGTGAGCTTTCTGTAATTCCCGGGAATCGTCGGAGGCAGTTACAAACATTTTGTTTTATCAGTTAATTTCACCCATCATGCCCCCTCGTGGGAACCACAATTGAGGTCTCTCCACAGGCTGTATTTTTAGGTGACGCACCCACATCTAAGGCAGCCAGGATGGTCGGAAAGTGTCTGCCAGCAGACTGGGGATCCCCAGGGGCCCCATCAGCCCAGGGCTGCTCCTCAGGATGGCCGCGGGGCCGTGCCGGCCGGGGCACACCAGGCCAGGGTGGGCGGCTGTTCCTGGACCCCAGCGGGCGTCTGCCTCCCCTACAGCGGGTCCGGGCACCCCGGGTCTACTTCCAGTTCAGAAGCGCAGCACTGAGTAGGGTGAGGTGGTCATGGCCCCTTCTTCTCTCAGTGAGCATCTGGACCCTGGGGGCCACGTGCCTCACACAGACTCTCCAGCAGCTGCCTAGGTGTGGATCGCTTTAGGAAACTCAGCTCCTAGCTCCCTAACTTCTGCACACACTCTTCCCTGAAATCACTGGGCCTGAGATTGCTCCTCGGGGCTCTCCTTCCCACCTCCCTCCGCGGGTGCCAGCCTGCACTTTGCAAACCACGGGGGGCTTGCACCTCCCCTGGCCCTCCTCCGCCTTCCCACCCTCTTCTCTCCCCGCCTCCACTACCCAAGTTTACCGTGGAGCACCAAAAGAACAGCTTGGTTTAGGGGGTCTTCTTTGAGGAGGGGTAACAACGGGGTCAATATTAATTTTGGAGATAATGTGAGCCACGCTGGCCAAGCACAGCCCTCAGCCCTTTCAGCAGAGCCGTGTGCTGCACACACATCTTCAGCTTTTCTGGGCCTCCGTTGCCTCTGGGTACATTTGGATTTGAAGCTGGAGAGAACCGAGCAGAAAGCAAGGAAAACGAAGTTCATCGAGGGCTTTTTGGCCCGCGGTAGGGGAACAGGCCCACCGAAGCACACCCCGGTTTCCCACAGTGACGTTCAGCTGCTCTCTCTCCCTCATGAGCTGGAGTCACGCTACGGACCCAGCCGTAAAGCCCTTGCGGTGTATTTCCACTCCAAATGTGGTAGGAAGGTCCTTGGCTTGCAAATGCTTTGTCCTAAGGCTCAAGGACTTCACCTGGCAAACACATCTCACCACCTTGCTGGTGCGAAACCGCCTGGGCTTTCACTCCAGCCGAGGCGAGGCATCTAAGTGCGCTTCTCCGGGTTGCCACTAGATGGCATCAGAGCTCCATCACGGTCCCTGCCCACCGGCGCCTCAACTCAGACTGGATTCCTGCTGGGGAAACCGAAAACAAAAGGAGGGGAGGGGGCGCGGGTGGGAAATAATTTGCCAATACTTTCTTATGAAGTTGAGAAATAACTAAAGCCACCGGTTCCAGTCTTGAAAACCAAGGCCCATTGGCAGTGGGTTATCAGAACTTACTAACTTTAGAGTCACTGAAGTTGGTATACAATGCCCCACTGTTAAATTGGTAAATAATCCAAACAAACAAACACAAAAAACAAGGTCCAATTCTAGCTTATTTGGAATCATAAGAGAACACCATGCATTAAACCCATAGCAACTAAGTTTGCAACAAATAAGTACAAAAGATGGAAGCTCTCTTTAATTTGTAGCCCCAAATAAAATGCCACTGATCGCATCCAGCATGTCTGAAACAGGCTAGTAAATAACGGATTTTTAAAAGCAATTTCTTTTCTGTAGACGCTGATGGACAAGAAAGCTCATCTTGGCTGGAGTTGAACATGGGGAACTTCTTGGTTCCTCTCACTCTTTCCTATTCTCAGAGCCTCTCTTCTGTTTAAGACATCACCTAAGATCCCAGGCTCCTCCTCCCCCTGTTACAATGTGCAGAGTGAAGTTCCAATAGTCAACTTGCCAAGAGACAAGGCTTCATGAAAATTCTCCCCCTGGGAAAGCCAGAGTCATTTGCCCTGGAGGCTCACAGGGACACACACACACACACAACCAGCCCAGAAAAAACAAAAGAACAGCCCTCAACCCTCCTTACCAGCCCCCTCCCCCCAGCTCCAGTTCTGGCCCCTTCCCTGCCTCTGCACCTCCCCACGATAAGCCCCAGAGATAAGATTATGCCAGGTGACAAGGGAAATCCACACTCCCGAAGACTGTGCCCCTAACTATCCCCCCCATCCTCATGTTAATTCTCAGTGCCTTCATTTTGTGAATCAGCAAATGTTATATAAATGATTTACCATTTAAAGGTGCGATAACATCAGACCAGAGGGAGATAAGGGGCTTTGTGTGACACTTGAAGCCATGGTGTTGGGAGTCACGGAGGCTTTCCTTCTCTGGCTTCCCAGGGCTTTAGGCCCCTTGTTTATCTCTTCCTCTCACCAAATTACTTCGGGCCATTTACACGTCTCCTTCCCCCACCAGCTCAGCTTCCTTCTCTTCCCACGCCTTCTGTGAGGCTCTCTGCCTGTCCCACCGCTGGTCCCATGCTTATTGGTGGGGATTTCTCAGAGGCTTCTCTGGATGTGTTCTGAGCTCTCAAATGGCAAACAGTGTTTTTCCAAATTCTGTTTTCCCACTGTGTAATTTTAAAACCTACACAATCATACAAGCATCACCCCCTGACCTCGGCCATCATTTTTATTTTGCATTTTCTTTAACATTCTCCATCCAAATGAATCCATCTGCAGCTCGCCATTCCAGGCTTTGCAAAGTCCTCATTCTTCTTTTTTGGTGTGATCCCATTAAGTTGATGTTTTTAGTAGTGGACATCTAGTTGGCTTAAAATATTTCACTGTTGAAAGCCTCACTTGTGTTTAACATCGAACTCACACTGGAGTAAACTAGTATGATATGCATGTTAGTCATTTATGCATATTTACAAATCTAAATATCTGTTGCGACATATAAAGGATGACTTTTCCTAGACTTCATAGCTCCCTTTGTTTCAAACTATGATGCAATTTTTTCTGAAGCTCATTGAGACGGCTTATACACAAACTATGATGGGGGAGAGGCACAGGCAGGTGCTCTGAGGGGAAGACTTCCTTGGCCCTGCAGGCATCTGAGCCTCTCCCAGCCATGCTGCCCGCCTCTGTCTGCGGCTTCTTTCCTTAGCAGAGTGAGACGCGAACACACGGCTCCCGGCAGCATGGGGACCCTTCGACTCTCGCGACAGAACCATAACTTCAGAGCCCCACCACACTCTCTCACTTGCGGTTTATCCTCGTGTTTTAATTTCCTGTATTTACAGTTTTTCTCAAAGGCATTCCGAAGGTTCTCCATTGAATCATCTCACTAAAACCCCTCTTAAAAGACAGCTCAAACGTCTAAGTTATAAGAGATAGATATGATTCATTCCTTTGAGAAAAAATAAACTGAGGCACAGCTAAGCCCGTCGTGCCCCTGGGCCTGATGGGCCGGCGGGGCCTTGCACTGCCTGGTCTAACCTGTGGCTGCTGGTGACCAGGCTGTGTCCCCCGGACCTCCTCGGCCTTCAATGGAGGAAGGTCAGATTTCTCAGTCAGATTTTGCTTGGAGAGCCCAGCTATTTCGTTCCATTGAAATAATTGGAGAAGTTCTTTTTTCCACAGGCATCCTGCCTGCACTTCATCGTGTGTATTATTTTGGATTTGCTTCAGAAAGAAAAATGGCCTTTCACGGCGTTTACGGAATGTGGGCAGAAATTGGACCGGGCAGACATAGAGCTCCGCACAGAGATGGAAAATATTCAGGGTGAACACGCACACTCGACACCCACGCTCCCGCAGAGAAGCGAGCCCCAGCGCTGGCCCCACACCTGAGTGCCTCCTCCGCCGGAGACCCGCCAGCGGCCAGGCAGCCTCTGCTCCCCAGGCCGGCCTCCGCACCTGCTTTATCCGCCCTTGGGTGGCTGCGATAGGAAGGTCCAGAAGTTTCCTGCCCGTGTGCACTAAAGTGCTCCGTGTGCCTGCGCCCCGGGACCCACCTGCGGAGGCCTGGAGAGGCCCAGCCAGCCCAGTCTCCTCTGCACCTGAGGAAAGGAAGCGGCTGCCCCTAGAACGGAGGAGCTGGCTGAGAAGCTCAAATCCTGGGACCGCCCCCTGCCCCCCTCCAAGTTCTGGATGCCAGTGGGTGCGGGTTTCCCCTGCTGTCTTCACCAGAGGGGCCTTCTCTACGCCACCTCCTCCCTCTGTCCCTTCTCCTCCCCAGGGCCCAGGGTCTCTAATGAAGGAAACGATTACGTCAAAGCAATCAGCACCGAAGTTTCAGAGAGGTCCTGTATCTTTTAAAACAGAAAGGACAGAAGGCGTCTCAAGCTGCAGCCAGAAGGTCCGCAATCCAGCCAGCAGACGCCAAGGGACGCTCTGTGCATGGCCATCCCGGGGGTTTCAGAGGCATCACCAAACAGGGGAAGGGGAGCTTCCCTGCGACGTCTCTCCCTGTCACACAGTTTGCTCCCTATGGTCATCAATGAGCCCTTCCAAATATGAGGGAATTTGCACCACAGTCCTCGTGCTTCCTCAGAGAAGGTCGTCGCAGTAAAAGGCCCATCACACTCTTTCTTCACAGTTCTGGACTCTGATCTCTTTTCTGATGCCACCCCCATTCTGTCTTCTATCCCTCCACATCCACCTAATGTCAAACTTTAAAAATAATGCATATTAAATGGCCAGCAATTGGTCACCTGGGGGAAGATGAATTGAGGCCATCCAGGGACACACCAGAGTGAACCCTCAAAATTCCAGAAACTCTTCCTAAGAGAAAGAAATTATGCATCCATCATTTTCTTTTTGCCCCAAATGTAGACACAACATTTGTTTGCCTGGTGGATAAAACTGAAAGTTATGCTAATATTGGAAACCCAGATCTGGGCATATCAGAGAAATTTGTTTTTAAAGGGACATTGCTAAGGACTTTGAATCCAGCACTTGACCTGTATTTCATATTACTCTGATCTAGTCGGGGATGCCTTCTAGGTTCTAAATGCTTAATTGGAAAATGTCTGGCACAGCCAGAAAATAAAGCCCAACTCTCCTTTTATGAGATTTACAGCAGACTGTCAACACCATCTGATAATTGAATCTCCTTGAAATCGGCAGAGCTATAGAGATATCATCAGGAAAGCTGATGTACAAACAAGCAAGAAGAAAAAAAAAGAATTAGAAAAACTGATTTTACTCCATTTAATGCATAATCAAGGGAAATGCAAAATTTGCCCAACTAAGGAGAAAGAGAAATACGAGGTATAGTTTTCTCAAGCTTTGTTTAGAAGCAAAAGGATCCCTCCACTACACTCCAGCCTGGGTCACTAAGACACACACACACACACACACACACACACACACACTCTCTCTCTCTCTCTCTCTATATATATATACACACACACACACACATATATGTATTTCCATATATATATGGAAATATTATTGTCATGCATTAGCTCTTTTAAAATATCCAAAGACAACCTGAAATGAACAAAGCAGGAGGACCTGGGTGAGTCTGAGCCCATTCCAGAAAAAAACAGTTGGCAGCAGTAAGAGTGGTGTTTACTAGAAAATTAACCTACTTCCAGCAGACAGTAGACAATGTGACTGATATTAAACAAAATGCGTGGATGTGTTTGCCTTGATGTTCGAAGGGTGGAGCTGCATCTGTTTTCCTATTATGTAAAACCCCTGCCCCGCTCCTGCCAAAACATTCTCCCAGTGACACGTCTGCCCGCCTCTGGATGCGTTCCTTACTAAAACAAATACGCCTAACACCGCATCTTTGATAGCAAATGCTCACAAAGGCAAACAATGAAAACTCCTAGGGTGCGTTTCTTGGGATGGCACCGGGCACCATGCGGAATTGCCACACACAAAAGCAAAACAGTGCTCCTGGCTGACTGGGCCAGGCCCCAGAGGTCAGCAACTTTTAGTAACTTGCTCTTTCTCGGCGAGTAACTAATTTCCCCCGCTCTGGGCATCCCGCAGTCCTTCCCTAAGAAGTCACTCTGTGTGTAGATGTTGTCTCTTTGAGGAGAGTGATAACTACTCAAGCAAACCATTCTTATAAGCGCACACTCTCACGAATAAAAGGAGAGTGTCTCATGGACGATACTGGCACCCTATAAAAGTGCAATTCAGCCTTATCTAATCTGGTGCGTGTTTCATCACAGGGACATGCAATAATGGCAGCCTTTGTGCTGAAGGAAGAAGGAAAAGCTCTCACGCGCGGGCGAGGTGGCGGGGGTCTGTGACCCGGCCCGGACTTTGTGCCCAGCTCTCAGTGAGGACTTCGCGGTCCTGGGGCCAGTAGGTGAGAAAATGATGGATGGGCCGGGTGGGCGACGGCAGGAACGGCCTGGAGAAGGCTTCCTCCTCCCATCTGCTCAGGAAGGACCTCAGCGCCAGACTAAACACAGGCCGGCGCGGCTGCGGTGTGCGAGCTCGCGCGCCGGCCGCCGGCCTTTAAAAGCACCTTCCTGCGCACGACGGGGAGACACCGGGAGACCAGGCGCCCCGACCCATCGGCTGGTCTTGAGGAGAAGCAGGACCGCCCCAGACTGTCGCCGCGGCCGGCAGGGCCGGGCGCTCCGCGGGGAATCTGGGCCGCGGTGCCCTGTGCCCCACTCCGGCAGGACTGGGCTTCCCCGGCTCTTCGAGGGAAGACCGCACAGAGAAGACCCTGGGCACCCCTGTGGCGGGCCGGACCCCGGGAAAGTAGGGCCCCTGCTGCCCCGCGCACTTGGTGGCCAAACACCTCCGGAGCCTGAGGTCTTGGGCCTCCTCTGGCTCTGCGTCCGGGGTTCTCTTCTCTCCCCCAAGGGTTGGCCTTTGGGTCAATCGTCCAGACCCAAGCCAAGCTTGTGTTGGGCAAGGGAGGAATTCCTGGAAAAGGAAAAAGCCCCTGCCACCCTCCGCCCTTCATTCATCTTCCCTGCCACCCACTCTCTCCTTTTCCCTGCTCCTACCCCAACCCTGACCCTCAAGGCCTACCTGGCCAAAGACAACAGCTGCGTTAGTCGCTAGGCCTTGGTGGGACTGAAGGCGGAGGAGCCTGGGCATCTGCTGGGGGAAGGCCGCACTAGACTGCAAGTCCTGGGTAGAAGCCCTCCCCATCTTGGGCCAGCTCTCTTCTGAGAGCCTCAGTTTCCCTCTCTATGATGCCAAGGGCTTGACTTTGGTGACTTCTGGACAGCCCCGGCATGGTGTCCTGGAGGTGAGCTACAACCTGAAACCCACCTCCTGCTGCCCATCCCTCCTCCAGCCTCCTCTGGCTGACGTCTGCCATGGGTCCGAGAGGAACTGCTCCTGCTTCCTCAGTGTTCTGAGGCTCCTGGCCTGCCTGCCTGCCTGCCCATCTGTCTGGAGCTGTGGGTAAGAGCGGGCCCACCATTGAGGCAGGGGCAGAAAAGAGCCTCTCTGCTTTATTTGCTGTGTTTTCTGGAGAATCTTCCTTGGGGAAACTAAATGAAGGGAAAAGCAGGAGAGGAGCCACCAGATAGCATCCAGGAGGAGAGAACAATGCATTCACCAGCAGGTCCTTTATTCGTTTATACAGAATGTCTGTGTCCAAATATATACCATTTTTCTGTGCATGCGCGTATACCAGTTTCTCCTCATAGCACTGGCGTGAGCATCTCTAGAAGAGTATGGAAGTGTGCAGATAAACCAGACCAGTGCAAGTCAGTATGTGTACACATATATAATAGATTCAACGGTTGCTGTGGGTAAACATCCTTCCCATAATAATTAGTATTTAGCTTCATGGATGTCTGCAAAGGGTGCTCTGTTACACACCCAGCTGCTAGAAGAAAGCCAAACACGGAGCAGGCCTCTATGTGTTTGTTGATTACATGGATTAGTAAACGTATCATCGATCTGAAATGCACATTTTTTTTTTCATTTTAGCAACTGAAACGGAGATGAGATTTACCACTGATGATATTTAATAATTTAGTTTTTTCCCCTCTTAGTGGCTCATAAGCACTGTACCTTATCATAAGTGGCGTCTTAGATCCAGTGAGCCTGTGCAGAGTGCAACTGCGAGGGCTGTGTAATCTTGGGAAAGCTCTCTCTTTTCTTTAAGCTCAGTTTCCTCATGTGTAAGATGTAGATCATAATATCCATGTCAGCGTCCTTGTGAGGATTAGGTGAAAGGAGTGTTTAAAGCACACAGCAGGATGACCGCATACTAAGTGTTCTGTGCATCCTACCAGTCTTTATAATTGTGGTTATGAGTGTCCGTGTTTAAGATTGGAGAAACATGGAATAAATTTGCCTCTCATTAGCGTGCACACTCTGCCCCAAACCCCTTTTTTTGTGGGGGGAGGTGCTGCTCCATCTAGTGAGTGGGGAGATTTTCTAATTCCCACTGGGGTCCTTGTGACCCCAAGCCAAAGCGGACCTTTAGTAAATGTAAATTCTGCATTTCTCTGCTGCCTTCATTTATAGTCAACCCGGTCGGACTAAAAAGAACTACCAGGGCGACCATAACTAAACACTACAGAGCAAGTGCCTCCTTTCCTCGCAGACATTTATTTCTGTGGAAATTCGCCTGTTTGCCATAGTTTGTCTTTTCTTATTTCTTCACTTCCAAACTAAACAGCCCTAATCCGAGCGCATACCTCTCTGTGTGCCAACGTTTCGCCTGTGTCTGTGTCTGCTGCGTATGTAAATACGGGCGAGCCTCTCTGTGGGCAAAGCCATAGGTGTGCATGGTCCTTGTTCCCATAGGCGACATCGGGGTGTGTGATTGCACGTGGGGGTGTGAGGCCTCGCCAGCACCGCCACTCACTGGTCCTGTTCTCGAAACCGGTTCTTTGGAGGCTCAGTTTTTGGTAATTAAGACTAAGGAGTGTTTAAAAAACAGAAGTACATTTTCCTGGAAACCAGCAGTCTTTATTTGCAACTTTTATTGGCAAACCTGGCTGCCAGTAAATACATTCCTTGGCATCTCCCACAATGTAATTCACTGGATGGAGCGGCCTTGCTTTTTCTGTAACGTGTACGTCAATTAAAAGGGCCGCCTGGAAGGAATGCGTAGCGGTGGCTGAAAGCCCCAGTCTCGGGTCACCTCCCTCCACTCCAGGAACAAAAGCGTCCGTGGTCTGTGCCTGGAAGTCTGAGAGGGTCTCCCCGATGGGGCTGTTCCCGCCCGGACCCTGAGGGATGAGAGTTGCAGCCTAGAAAACCAGGTGCCAGGCCCTGCGGGGTCCCACGCGGGCGGCGCGGTCTTCCCCAGGCCTCCTTCTCTGGAGACCCGGTTCCCAGGGGACGCTGTGCGGGGACAGGCGGAGCCGGCCCTTGGAGCCCGGCGCGGGCAGAGGCGCCGCGGAGACAACGCCTCCGACGGCAGGGGGCGCTCGTAGCACGCGCAGTGCGCGGTGCGGGCGCCCAGGACGGCTGCCTGGCCCCGGGTTCCCGAGGCGCGGGACCTGCCGGGGTGAGGTGCCCCCAGCCTGAGAGCCCCAGCCTGGGTCGGCCAAGGGGCCTCCGGGCTTCCACATCGTCCCTTTTTCTGCTGACGCTCGCGGGGAAGCGGCGGGAAGCCTGTGAGGGGCGGCCTGGGAGCAGACGGACCACCAGGTCACCGGCGCGCGCTGCCAGGCGCCGACCCACTCGCGAGGACCAGCGGTTCCCGGAGGCGTCGGCCCTCAGGTCCTCGGGGGAGGCCGGCTGCACCGAGCCGGGTGTCGGCCTTGTCCCTGTCCTGAGAGGTGCAAACACCGGCCCCGGCCCAGGCCCCCGGGGCTCCTGCCCAGAAGGCTCAGAGCTGGGGGCCGACCGCGCCTTACCCGCAGGAGGCCCGGCGGTGCGTCCGCGTTGGTGCCACTCCCCGGCCGGGGTGAGGGACGTCGGAAGGAAGGTCCCAGGGCGCAGGGTTCCGCGAAGGGAGCACTCGGAAGGAAGGCTGGCTGCGGCCCCGGCGCCTGGGTCCGCTGCGGCGCCGGGCCGGAGACCTGGGAACAGCCAGCCACCTGCAAGGTTGCAGCCCACCTCACCCCGCCGGCGGCTCCGGGGCTGTCTGTGGGTCTGTCTCACGGGGCAAAGCCTTTCTTCCCACACCCACAGCCAAGGCGCGTCCGTGCAGGGGCACACGCCTTCTGCTCCAGCCCCAGGAAGGCGCTTTCGCCCTGCAGTCCTCCGACGGCCGGCTCCCGCCGCACCGCGCACCCTGGCTCCGGCAGACTCTGGGGCCTGGGGACTCGCCCACCCTGCGCGGCGCGCCCCCCACATGAGCCGAGGTTGGGAGGCTGCGGGGCCTCTGTCCTCCCAGGCCGTGGAGTGCGGCGGCCGCTCTGAGTCCGCTGGGGACCTGGATGGAGAGAAACTGGGGCTCGTTCGCGCACACATGCACCATTTGTTCTTTCCGATCATCTATCCCTTTACGAATTTTATTTTTATTCCGGATTGTTAATGCAAGACGACAGTTTGAATCTCCATTTACCTCTGCCTGAACACAAGAAGCCCTGAGTCTTTTGAAGCCGGGCACCAAAGTTAAAGATTCACTTCCCGCATTCCCCATGGCCCCCTCTTGCAGCTTAGCTCGGCTCTGAGCCCCCGAAACGCCCTTCGAGGCGGGGGCTTTCCTGCCAAGGGGCGATAGGTGGGCCATCCCGAGGCGGGAACGATCAGGTAGGTGTTGGCTGGCTTTCTCCTGGGTGAGTAGTTAGGGGAACCGCCCCTCCAGGGGACTTAGATGACATTAAATTATCCCATCACACAAACTTCCCGTGGAGGTCTGCCCCCAGGAGGGCAACTATCGGATTAATCCAACCATGTAGACAGGCAATATGGATCACTTTGTCTTTAAAACAATCGAAAACCAAACGCTCTTTTCGTTTATTGTAGAAATTTTTCTACTAAGGACGGGGCTGAATTGGAGGGACTGTGCTGACAAATCCTCTACTTGAAAATCCCCCAGCTAAGGAGTATCTGCCCAAGGTCGCGGCCACCCAGATGTTCGGTCCCCACTCCTTCCTCCGCTGAAAAGTCGCACCGATGACTAACGTTGCCTGCCGGCCTGGTGGTTTGAAAACGAATGCCGGGCATTGATGCAAGGATATCCTCCCCTACCCCTGGGATTCTGGTCTAAGCAAAGGAGGCCGAATGGAGAACTAAGACAATTATCTAAGTAATCTAAAAAGCTCAAAGACATCCCCAAGCGGACCTTGCTCCAGTGGTCTGTGATGGCAGCCTAGTGGACAGTTTTCTAGTGGCCCTCTGGGGTTAATTGCCTTAATCTTCCACTCTGTCTGCCCCAGCAAAGGGAAAGATGCTAAAGCAGCTGTGGACTTGCAGCCTCCCTCCTGTGTGTGCAGAGCCCCCAGGAATCACTGCCCCAGTGCAGCAGGAGAAGCGCCTTCCCTCATGCCCTAAGCCTGCCTTTTCTGTTGTCCCCCAGCTCCTGGGCCAGGTGGAGCCCCCCCTGAAGCTGGTTTCTACCTGCCCTCGCCTCCCCACTGCAGCCCACAGTTCGGCTTTCAGGGCTGAACCCAGAGCCCAGAGGATGGAGAAGCCAGAAAGCGGGGAGGTAAGGGAGAGGGCGTCTAGGCACACCACAGAGGTGATTGGGCTGTGACGGGGACAATCCGCACAACACGAGCTAAGCTCACACCCCTAGGGAGTGATTTTTCCGGACTGCCCCCATCCCAATCTCCACCTCCTCTGCTTTACTTGAAAAAGAAAAAGAAAAAAGAGAGCTCCTTCTGGCTCCTGGTGACCCATATTTAGGACACCATCCCATCCCCCAGCACACACATTCCTACAGTGTCACCTGGTCCCCAATCCGAGCATTTCCTGGAGTGCTCGCCACATTCCCCTTCCTGGTGCTTTTCTATGGTGGGGCCAGGGGAGGCCTTGTTTTGAACATCGCTGTGACGTCACTCCCCCTCCTCCGAGCTAAGCACCCCTCGGTGGGCCCTGGGAATTGTTGCCCGGCCTGCTGGGGAGGGGCGGAGTGTGGGCCCAGGGAGGGTTCCACCAAACATCCATTACCGCTGTCGCCTGCGGGGCCTTCAGGCTGCAAGTACGTGAGGTGTCAGAAAAGAAGCCGAAGGGTTCCCGTGGGGGCTCTTCTGCCAAATGAGTCAAGAGATGTGCGGAAGCGGATGATTGAAGTACCCCGTGGAGTAGCAGAAAGGGGCATCAAAAACTGTAACCTGAAAATAAAAGCTTTAACCTGTTCCCCAAAAGACTTCATGCCTGCGTCTTAATGTTCAAATAACACCACTAACAACAAAAATGAAATAAGAAAAGTGCTTGAAATACAATCAAGCCGCTTACTGGAGGCTTGCTTCCGAGTAAGTTTATAAAACACAAATGCAAATATCTTTTCCTGGCGAATATCCAGAGCTAAACCAGTGGAAAGTTGATCTTGATAAAACTACGTCCCTCCATTTTTTCTCGCACGCCAGACACTAATTTCACAACGGCGACTTTTATACCCAAAACGGAGAGCTGAGAACACCGCTGCAGGTCGATTTGCAATTTACATAACAAGCTGTTTACACTTCACTGGGCCGATGGAGGGAGGAGGCAGGGAAGAGCAGGAGGCGACAGGCTGGTGGGGGAGGGGGCAGCGGGGCACCATTGCCTGTTGCAAAACTCGGGGCCGAAGGCGTTTCCCGCATTCGGAAAACAAAGCATCCGTAATCGCTGCGTTCATCTCCGCGCACCGCTAGCAGTGTAAAAGGCAGCTTCAAGACCGAACTCACCACTTGCTGAGGTGTTCAGGGAGACCACTTAAATCTCCTCCAGGCTGAAGCCACAGCACTCCTTAAAGCCTCGACCAGGCGGGCTGATAAGACCTTCAGGGTGCCGGGCTGGGGGCTGAACAGGAATTAAGTGTTCAGGTCCTGGGGCTTCACCACCACCCTCGCCCCTGTCTAGTGTCCTTGGCAACCAGCAAGTGCTGAGCCTCCTGTTGGTGCTTCTCCAACCCACCAGTGACTTGGCCCGCAAACCACCTGGAAAAGGAGTCTCCAGAGACCCCGGCGCACAGCAGGCCAGGAGGCAGCTGCCCCGGGATTCAGAGCAACCTCGGGGCAACCCTCCCTCCTCCAAAGGCTAATTCTAGAAGAGGCAGGTCCTCTTTCCTTCGATGTCAATGTCCATTATGAAACAGTAATTTTTAAATATTCAGGTGACACGGAGATGCGCCTGCTACACGTCAGCGTCCTTCACATGTAACAGCCGAAGCTGCAATTTGAATTTTCCTGCCAACGTGAGGAAGCCGGGATTCGAACCGGGGAGACAAAAGGGGTCCCGAACATGTCCTTGGATTTAATAGATGGTCGGAAATCAGGGGCAGCGGAGCTGTTAAATGCGTCACGCACGCTTCTTCGCAGTCTCCTGAGCTCGCCACTTCCCCCAGCTTCTAGTGAACGACTTGGGATTCAGCCTCCGGGAGGGTCTCTCCTCAAGTCGCTAAAATGCAGAATCGCCGTGCCGGGGGAGGGAGGCCTGGCTCTTTCCCGCTCCTTCGTTTCTTTCCCTCATTTCTCTTCTTCCTGTCCCATTCCAACCACCCAGCGACGGCGAATCTCAGGCGTGTGCACAACGAGCGGGGGCCCTTCCGTGCGTGTCCCCCCAGAATCCTTGAACCGCCCTCTAGGTGCGACCCTGGACGTTCCCCCAGACACACCCGTTGTCTCTGCGAGCCGGCAGCCCCGCGCATGTGGAGATGGAGACTGGCCTGGGGAAGCGTTAAGCTCTTAGACATATTTATTTGCTTCTTGTCATCACACCTGCTAATGTCACCGAGCCCGCAGCCTGACCCCTCATCTGAGCCGAAACGGGCCTGACGGGATCAGAGGGGGCGGCGGCGCGGCGAGCCGGTGGGACCCTCGCGGGCGGGCAGGGGAGCGCGGGGCAGCAGCCGGGCTCCGGCAGCCCTCGCCGCCCGCACCCTCAGGCCGCCAAGGGCCGGCCCCCCGGGGAGGGGGGCGAGAAGCAGGGCGGCCCGCAGCGGGGCGGGCTCATCCTTCGCGGGTGAACGGCCGTCGGAAACTCCCAGCAGGGCCCCGCACCCCTTGCCTTCATTTCGGCTGGGGAGGGGTCATGGAGGGGGGCCAGATGGGCGACGAACCTTCTTCCCCACCGCGAGCAGGGCCTGGCTGTGACCGAGCCCTCAAAATCATGTCCTTTGTAGCCGAGTTCAGGACAGGAGAACCTCCAAGTGGAGAAAAGCCGGAGACGTCAGTGACCCGAGTGAGACTGGCGTTGGAGAAGGGAGGGAAGGGGCTGCGGGAGGGGAGAGGCGGCGGGGAGGAGAGGCTGGGGCAACCCCAGCGCTGGCGTCGGCGGGGCTGGCGAAGGAATGAGAGCGAGCCAGCACGAGGCGGGGCGGAGACGCCAGGGCCACTCGGGAGCCGTGGGCGAAGGAAGGGTCTGCACGGGGTCCCGGGAGGACCCAGGAAGTCTGCGCGAACGGCGGGCGTGGGTCCGGAGGGCCCGGGGTGGGAGGTCTGCCGGGCGCCGGCGGCAGGCAGGTGGACTGCGGGGGGCGAACCGACGGCGGGCCGGGCGCCGGCGCGGGCGCAGGGCCGGGGCCCGGGCCAGGGCGGCCGGCGCGCGTGTGGTCAGCCCCGCGGTCCTCCGGCCTCCGGGAGCGGGCCGGCAGGGCTCGGCCTCCGGCTCATTCGGAGGCGGTTCTCACCTCCCATTGGCTGCCGCCGCTGGCGGGGCGGGGCTCCGCTGCCCGGAAAAAAGTGTAACTGCGTAAAAAAGTCCTCGCCTGGGTGACGGATGCTCAAAAGTTCAGAAGTTTTCCCAATGCTTCCTTAAGCGGCTGGCGCGCGAGAGACCGAGAAAAGGTGACGCGGGGCCCGGGCAGGCGGCCGGCGCGCGGCCCCCCCCCCCCCCGCCCTGGTTATTTGGCCGCCTTCGCCGGCAGCTCAGGGCAGAGTCTCCTGGAAGGCGCAGGCAGTGTGGCGAGAAGGGCGCCTGCTTGTTCTTTCTTTTTGTCTGCTTTCCCCCGTTTGCGCCTGGAAGCTGCGCCGCGAGTTCCTGCAAGGCGGTCTGCCGCGGCCGGGCCCGGCCTTCTCCCCTCGCAGCGACCCCGCCTCGCGGCCGCGCGGGCCCCGAGGTAGCCCGAGGCGCCGGAGGAGCCAGCCCCAGCGAGCGCCGGGAGAGGCGGCAGCGCAGCCGGACGCACAGCGCAGCGGGCCGGCACCAGCTCGGCCGGGCCCGGACTCGGACTCGGCGGCCGGCGCGGCGCGGCCCGGCCCGAGCGAGGGTGGGGGGCGGCGGGCGGCGCGGGGCGGCGGCGAGCGGGGGCCATGCAGGCGCGCTACTCCGTGTCCAGCCCCAACTCCCTGGGAGTGGTGCCCTACCTCGGCGGCGAGCAGAGCTACTACCGCGCGGCGGCCGCGGCGGCCGGGGGCGGCTACACCGCCATGCCGGCCCCCATGAGCGTGTACTCGCACCCTGCGCACGCCGAGCAGTACCCGGGCGGCATGGCCCGCGCCTACGGGCCCTACACGCCGCAGCCGCAGCCCAAGGACATGGTGAAGCCGCCCTATAGCTACATCGCGCTCATCACCATGGCCATCCAGAACGCCCCGGACAAGAAGATCACCCTGAACGGCATCTACCAGTTCATCATGGACCGCTTCCCCTTCTACCGGGACAACAAGCAGGGCTGGCAGAACAGCATCCGCCACAACCTCTCGCTCAACGAGTGCTTCGTCAAGGTGCCGCGCGACGACAAGAAGCCGGGCAAGGGCAGCTACTGGACGCTGGACCCGGACTCCTACAACATGTTCGAGAACGGCAGCTTCCTGCGGCGGCGGCGGCGCTTCAAGAAGAAGGACGCGGTGAAGGACAAGGAGGAGAAGGACAGGCTGCACCTCAAGGAGCCGCCCCCGCCCGGCCGCCAGCCCCCGCCCGCGCCGCCGGAGCAGGCCGACGGCAACGCGCCCGGTCCGCAGCCGCCGCCCGTGCGCATCCAGGACATCAAGACCGAGAACGGTACGTGCCCCTCGCCGCCCCAGCCCCTGTCCCCGGCCGCCGCCCTGGGCAGCGGCAGCGCCGCCGCGGTGCCCAAGATCGAGAGCCCCGACAGCAGCAGCAGCAGCCTGTCCAGCGGGAGCAGCCCCCCGGGCAGCCTGCCGTCGGCGCGGCCGCTCAGCCTGGACGGTGCGGATTCCGCGCCGCCGCCGCCCGCGCCCTCCGCCCCGCCGCCGCACCATAGCCAGGGCTTCAGCGTGGACAACATCATGACGTCGCTGCGGGGGTCGCCGCAGAGCGCGGCCGCGGAGCTCAGCTCCGGCCTTCTGGCCTCGGCGGCCGCGTCCTCGCGCGCGGGGATCGCACCCCCGCTGGCGCTCGGCGCCTACTCGCCCGGCCAGAGCTCCCTCTACAGCTCCCCCTGCAGCCAGACCTCCAGCGCGGGCAGCTCGGGCGGCGGCGGCGGCGGCGCGGGGGCCGCGGGGGGCGCGGGCGGCGCCGGGACCTACCACTGCAACCTGCAAGCCATGAGCCTGTACGCGGCCGGCGAGCGCGGGGGCCACTTGCAGGGCGCGCCCGGGGGCGCGGGCGGCTCGGCCGTGGACGACCCCCTGCCCGACTACTCTCTGCCTCCGGTCACCAGCAGCAGCTCGTCGTCCCTGAGTCACGGCGGCGGCGGCGGCGGCGGCGGGGGAGGCCAGGAGGCCGGCCACCACCCTGCGGCCCACCAAGGCCGCCTCACCTCGTGGTACCTGAACCAGGCGGGCGGAGACCTGGGCCACTTGGCGAGCGCGGCGGCGGCGGCGGCGGCCGCAGGCTACCCGGGCCAGCAGCAGAACTTCCACTCGGTGCGGGAGATGTTCGAGTCACAGAGGATCGGCTTGAACAACTCTCCAGTGAACGGGAATAGTAGCTGTCAAATGGCCTTCCCTTCCAGCCAGTCTCTGTACCGCACGTCCGGAGCTTTCGTCTACGACTGTAGCAAGTTTTGACACACCCTCAAAGCCGAACTAAATCGAACCCCAAAGCAGGAAAAGCTAAAGGAACCCATCAAGGCAAAATCGAAACTAAAAAAAAAAAATCCAATTAAAAAAAACCCCTGAGAATATTCACCACACCAGCGAACAGAATATCCCTCCAAAAATTCAGCTCACCAGCACCAGCACGAAGAAAACTCTATTTTCTTAACCGATTAATTCAGAGCCACCTCCACTTTGCCTTGTCTAAATAAACAAACCCGTAAACTGTTTTATACAGAGACAGCAAAATCTTGGTTTATTAAAGGACAGTGTTACTCCAGATAACACGTAAGTTTCTTCTTGCTTTTCAGAGACCTGCTTTCCCCTCCTCCCGTCTCCCCTCTCTTGCCTTCTTCCTTGCCTCTCACCTGTAAGATATTATTTTATCCTATGTTGAAGGGAGGGGGAAAGTCCCCGTTTATGAAAGTCGCTTTCTTTTTATTCATGGACTTGTTTTAAAATGTAAATTGCAACATAGTAATTTATTTTTAATTTGTAGTTGGATGTCGTGGACCAAACGCCAGAAAGTGTTCCCAAAACCTGACGTTAAATTGCCTGAAACTTTAAATTGTGCTTTTTTTCTCATTATAAAAAGGGAAACTGTATTAATCTTATTCTATCCTCTTTTCTTTCTTTTTGTTGAACATATTCATTGTTTGTTTATTAATAAATTACCATTCAGTTTGAATGAGACCTATATGTCTGGATACTTTAATAGAGCTTTAATTATTACGAAAAAAGATTTCAGAGATAAAACACTAGAAGTTACCTATTCTCCACCTAAATCTCTGAAAAATGGAGAAACCCTCTGACTAGTCCATGTCAAATTTTACTAAAAGTCTTTTTGTTTAGATTTATTTTCCTGCAGCATCTTCTGCAAAATGTACTATATAGTCAGCTTGCTTTGAGGCTAGTAAAAAGATATTTTTCTAAACAGATTGGAGTTGGCATATAAACAAATACGTTTTCTCACTAATGACAGTCCATGATTCGGAAATTTTAAGCCCATGAATCAGCCGCGGTCTTACCACGGTGATGCCTGTGTGCCGAGAGATGGGACTGTGCGGCCAGATATGCACAGATAAATATTTGGCTTGTGTATTCCATATAAAATTGCAGTGCATATTATACATCCCTGTGAGCCAGATGCTGAATAGATATTTTCCTATTATTTCAGTCCTTTATAAAAGGAAAAATAAACCAGTTTTTAAATGTATGTATATAATTCTCCCCCATTTACAATCCTTCATGTATTACATAGAAGGATTGCTTTTTTAAAAATATACTGCGGGTTGGAAAGGGATATTTAATCTTTGAGAAACTATTTTAGAAAATATGTTTGTAGAACAATTATTTTTGAAAAAGATTTAAAGCAATAACAAGAAGGAAGGCGAGAGGAGCAGAACATTTTGGTCTAGGGTGGTTTCTTTTTAAACCATTTTTTCTTGTTAATTTACAGTTAAACCTAGGGGACAATCCGGATTGGCCCTCCCCCTTTTGTAAATAACCCAGGAAATGTAATAAATTCATTATCTTAGGGTGATCTGCCCTGCCAATCAGACTTTGGGGAGATGGCGATTTGATTACAGACGTTCGGGGGGGTGGGGGGCTTGCAGTTTGTTTTGGAGATAATACAGTTTCCTGCTATCTGCCGCTCCTATCTAGAGGCAACACTTAAGCAGTAATTGCTGTTGCTTGTTGTCAAAATTTGATCATTGTTAAAGGATTGCTGCAAATAAATACACTTTAATTTCAGTCAAAAACTGCTCTACGTGGCCTGTGATTCGCTCGGTCCCCTCCCCCAGGGTCGTAACCTAATCGCCGGGAAGATCGCAGCGGCGCTGGCGCGGGTGTCTCCTCGGGGCAGGCGGGCTGGGGGTGGCCTCACGGCCCCGTTTAAATCTCGCTGGGCTGTCGCGGCGCTAGGTCCCGGGGCTGCCTCCAGCTTCCTCGGGTTACAGCCTCTTTCGGGGCGGGGGAAGGGGAGGGGGTGACGGTAGAGACTCCACCGCCAGTCTCCAGGAGTTTGGTGTGATCGCTCCACTTTGGGGAGCCCGGCGAGGAGCTGGGATTTGCGGACAAAGGGCCCGCGGCCGGAGCTGGGGTGTCGAGGCCCGGAAGGGGAGCTGCAGCAGGTGACTCACGGCCCTGTCCCCACGGGCGGGCTGGCCCAGCCCGAGGCGGAGCAGCTCGGCCGCCGGAGACGGTACCGTTCTCGACGTGTCCGGTCGGACTCTGTGGAGTAGGGGGTGGCGGGTGGAGACCCGCGCGGCCCACGCCTGGCTTTCCGGCTGGGGCGTTTCTCGCAGGCCCGGTCCCTTCCGAGTCGCGCCCGCCCCGACGCCGGCCTCCTGGACGCCGCTCGCGACGGCAACGCTCTCCAGCTAATGAGCTGTAATTACCCGCGGCGGCGCGGGGCCCGGCTTCGGTTTGCGTTTGGAGCTCCTTCCTCCCCACACCCCCCTCCCCAGATTAGCCCCGGCCTCCGCGGCCTCCTCCTGAAATTAGTCGTTGGAGAAAAGCGAGTCAAAGGGAGACCCCTGTTAGTTTCGCTGGGTTCCTCGCGGGCTGGGTCGGGGTGCCGGGAAGCGCGCGCTGAGGGAGGGTGGCAGGCGCGCGGTGCCGGGGACGGGGACGGGGCGGGGGGCGCCGAGCCGGGAGAAGCGCCCTCGGGGCTCCGGCCGAGAAGCTCGGAGGAGCCCGCTCCCTCGCCCGGTCACCCCGCGTCTCCGCCTGGCGCCGCAGGGCCCCGCCGAGCTCTCACTTCCTCCTCGCTGGCCTCCTTTGTTGTGAAGACGCACGTGTGTTTAGGAGCGCAGCTGGGGTGGAAAGGTCAGAGGCACTTCATTGCTCACGGGTGACAGCTCGCCCCGCGCCGGCCCGCAGCCTCCAGGCGCGGGACCCGGAGCTGCGCGTTTGCAGGGCCACCCCCGGCCCACCCGCCTCGGCCTGGCCGCACCAGACCTGCCCGGGCCGGCGCTGCGGCCCCAGGCGGCCTCCCCGGCAGGGCTGCGTCCTCGCGCGGTGTGTGAGGTTTGCAGAGGCCACCAGTCGCTTGGCAGTGGCCGTGCGGGGAGTCGCTCGGCCTCAAGGATGCCAGAAGCCCTCGGGCGAGCTGCAGGCTCAGCGTGTTCCGAGCCCACGTGCCTGCGACTCTCCACTCTCCTTGGGTCTCGGCTTTGCGGCCCGGAGGAGGTGGCGGCCGCAGTCAGCCCCGGCCTAGGCCCAGGTCGGCAGTGGAAAGCTCGGCGGGCTTTTCTGCACCGTTCCCAGCGGCGGGAGCGAGCTGGGAAAGAGTCGACCCGCTCCCGGCTGGGGGCCCTGCCGAGTCTGGCCTGCCGAGGAGTGGGCCGAGAGCAGCCCCTGTCCTTCCTTGCGGGGCTCCAGTCCCAGCTGCAGGAGAGGAAGCGGGTACGGGGCGAAGCGCGGTGCTTCGGTTTCCGTGGCCAGCGAGGAGCCCCTGGCCCACAGGTCGAGAGTGTTTATAGGCGTGCGCGAGCAAAGCTTCTTAGCAACTTGCTTTACCCTCTTCTATTCGAATGTTTGAAAATTAGGCATGAAACACACATGTGTCTAAGAAGGTGTTTGTGTTAAACATACATGACGTAGTCATTTCTGCACTCGTTGCCTGTGCAAGTTTAGAAGCTATGTTGAGTGGAAGGAGAGAAGTTCTGCTCATTATTCGGATTTTAAAAACCACATCTAGGTAATGTCTCCTACTATCAGTACATTACCTTTTCGATTCTCACACCCGATTTAAGAAAACCAACTTCTGCCAACCTTATTTAACGTGGCACTACTTATTCCTTAGAGGTTTGCACGTTTGGTTTGTACTGTTTTAGGAATAAGGATAATTTTCCTGTGAAATATTCTAAGAAAAACTCCTTGATAGTTTAACTAATAGCCAGTACATTTTGAAATTAGCCTGTGACAGCAGTCCAGATCCATGGCGGGGAATCAGCTAATTTTTAAAATAGCCTCTGTAAAAAGCTTTAGGAGAGTAAGTATTTTGTCCTTTATGCAGAAATGGGCACATTTATTTTAATAGCAATTTATGCCACGACTACACAAATGCCAGCATGCCACATGCCATAGGCAGTCTTGCATTTGGCATGTTGCACGTGTGGGAGGGACCGGTGCTGACTTCTCCAGGGTTGTGTAGTTAGCAGACCTTTTTCTCCAGACTGAGTGCAAACAAGCATGCATTTTACAATTTATTATTCCACAAAATTTGTGTCATTAATAATCGATGCTTGCAAAGGAATAGGGCTCGATTGTACTGGTGGCCTGTAAGCTCCTGGCTGTTTCCTGCCGGGTCAGAAACAAGGGTCAGGAAACAAGAGTGCCTTATAGTCCTATTGGGCTCTCCCTAACTTTGATAGGCGAGGAAAGGACATAGGGCAGGGGTCTCCGTTTCTAAGGCGGAATGTCATTAGTTTTGTTCTTAATGGTGCAAAACCCAAGAGACTCTGAACCCTCTGCAGGTGGAGGCTGCCTGGACAGATTGCCCAGGAGGGACAAGAGGTATCCATACTTGATCAGGCCTCAGGCACCCACACCAGTGTTCTCTGAGGCTGTTAGTGGCACCCAAAGCAAGGCCAGTTGGAGTGACAGTTTCCCTCTACTCCTGCCCCACCTCTGAGAGCTCTGTGAGAGGGGCTCTCATTTGCGAGGCCACCCCCCCCTCCCCCAACCCCGGCCATTTGCTTCAGAGCTTAGCTCCGAGTCCCCTGCTCCTTGGGCCTGCCTGGTATTGCAGGGCCTTCTCCACTACAGGCATTTCATGGACAGTTCATGAAGCCATTAGCCCTTCCCACCCGTCATAAACAAATGTCGTGTTAGGGGCAAGATTGATGGTGGCCAAGTCATAAAGCTGGCCAGGCAGGACAGAATATGATTGTGTGCGGGCAGCCATTCTTCAGCCAAGCAGAGAGATTGGGGTGTAGGACCAAGAGACTGTGTCAGTCTTCCCCCCACCCATCTGAGGGGGGAGCTCAGGAGAGCTCCCGACAGGGAAGTTTAATTTATTCTGACAACGTCCACTTAGGCAGGAAGAGAAACCCACTGAGATTTGCCATGGGGCCCTAAATGCCAGCTTCAGAAAGCCCACTTTCTGAAATCTTCTATTTCCATTTATAACAAAGCCAAAAGTTTCCCTGCAAAGAGCTTTTATTATTGATGCTTTCCCTCCCACCTTAACCGAATGTCTTCCTTTGCAGCTGGGGCTCTGTCTTCTTGTCTGAAGCTTCCGAGGCCTTGATTTCCCACCCTCTTTTATCCCATCTCCCCCTTTTCGGTGGGAATGCATCATAACCATTAGGCTCTGTGCGTCTTTGTGTCTGTCTCTTCGTCTCTGTCACTTTTCCCCATCCTTTTCCCTTCCTGCCCCCACAGAAGGCTGTGGGGCCCCAAAGTTTCTCTGGGATGTCCCCACTCCGAGCCCAGCTCAGGGGCCTGCATGCCTGCCCTCCACTGCACCATCTGGGGGATGGGCCGGATGCAGCCCTGATGCGGAGCTTGCGCCCAGGCCTCAACAGACTTGGGGCCACACTGCAGCCGGACAGGCAGGTTCCAGGTCCTAGTCGGCTGGGAAAGAAACAATACTTAAGTAAATGAATTCCAGCTCCAAAACCCATTTAGGAAAATGAAAGCAGCTTCTCCACGAACCTTCTCAACGTGATTACGACTGGAAAATTGAGCAAAATGTACCATATCTACCTTATTGGAAACCAAAGTACGACGCGGGGAGCGTACGGCTCAATTTAAGACCTTTGTTGTGCTCCTTTCCCATCTTACCCTGGCCCCAAAGAGACCCTCTGGTTTATATTACTTTTTTGGTTGTTTACTTGATTTTTTCCCTCACTGATTTCAAATTTGCAGCATATTGAGCGTATTACGGGAGATGCAGTAGGATCTGGAATTTCCTTGCACATAGACCTGGCCCTGTCTTGGAGAAGGCTGGAGCTCACACAGGGAGACACAGCCAGAGAGAAGAGGCTGGGTCTGTGTGGTCCTCGGGGAGGGCTTGGAATTGCTCCCAGCTCAGAATCTCCCTGCCTGGGGTTGGGAGGGTGACCTGGCAAGCCTCAATGGGGCTTCTCCCGGGCCCCCTCCTGGTCCAGAGGATGCCTCCCTTTCTCCAAAGAGCATCTTCTTTCTCTGGCGTGTCCGTGGGCCCCTCCAAGCCCACTGGTCCCCATGGGTGTCATTAGGACTTGACGGGCCCACCCTCTCCTGCAGCTGCCACTGCAGGCCGCTCCTACTGAGGGGACTCAGTGGGCTGCTCCTTGGCCCCCTAAGTCAACACAGCTTGGTGCTACTTGGGTGGGCATGGGAGAGCAATTTGTGAGCCCAGCAAGTGAGCATCAGAGCGGGAGCCAGGACCAGGCAGTGAGGCCTCTGGCTTGACCCAAGTGGTGGGACCCCAGGCAGGGCCTAGAGAGGCGGAGGAGGCTCCAGGGAGGGGCTCCAGCGGGGTGGTTATGTGGTTCCCTGTACTCAAGGTTGGGAAAGGAAGGAGTTTTTTGGAGAGCTTTGAGGACGACTTAGATCCCGAGATGGGGGAGAGGGAGATGGAAAGAGAGGGGGAGGGAAGACGTGGAGAGAGGGACATCCCCCCTCCCATTACCTACCCCGGGGAAAAAGCAGGAAAACCAACACATTTAGCGCCATTAACTCTTAAGGCCTCCACATTTCCTTCGGTATAAAAGCAGGTCATTGGTCCCGGAGGCTGTGCCGGGGCTCGTCAAAGGCTACAAACAAACCGGACGGGTGGGAAGCACGTTTCAGCGGCGACTGGATTTTTAAAAATCTGCTGGTAGAGTGAAAACAAAAATTGTCCTCCAAGTTGGCAAAATCGGCGTCCCAGACGGTGCGCAGGAGGGCCCTGCGAGGCCTGTCCCCGGAGCCCCGCGCCAGTCCTGTAGGCCCGGCTGGGTCCGCAGCCCGGTGTTCCACTCGTGGGTCGGGCCCGGCTGCGGGGTCTTTCCGCAGCCGGGACACCCAGGACAGCAGCGGCTGGGGAGCCGGGGCCAGGGGCTTCCTTGCAATTCCAATGATTTTTATTATTATCACTCGCAAAGGACAAACGCGGCCAAGGCCGGGCCTCACAGTGGCTGTGCTGGTCATCGCGTGGAGGAGTGTGCGCTAACCCAGGGGCGAGGGGGGCGCGCCCGGTGTCCCGGGGAGAGCTTAGAAGGAAGACGCCCCACCGTGGTCCCTACAGTCAGGGACAGTCTGGGTGCTAGAAATTCCCAGAGAGAACTCGAGGGGCTGATGTCCTGGGTCACCAGTCCCTGGTGCCTGTGGGGCTTCCTGCGCGCCCACCCCCATCCCCCTCCCCCCTCTCAGGTTCGACGGATTCTCCCGGAGGCTTAGGACAGTGATTTACAGTAAGTGGTGACAGTGGAATAACGTGACAGTCCGCTGCATTTGCCAGCTGGCTCCTGGGCAGGCCTACCCGCCGGGCCCGACCCCAGAGTCGAGTCCTCGGAGCCGCCGGGTAAAGCCCCCTCCCCCGCCCCGGTGCAGCCCCGCGTTCCCCGCGCCCGGCGCTGCCGGGGAAAAGTGGCACAACAGGAAAGCCTCGCCAGAGGGCCCTTCCCAGTCGGCTTCCTCGCCATAAAAAGCCAGACTCCAGCCGAGGTCCTGACCCCTTCCAAATATACGTTCCCTTGCCCGCGGCCCGCCACTCCCGCCCGGGCCTCGGGCTGTGCAGCTTCCTCCTAGGCCTGCCCGGGCCCATGCCTCCCCCGAAGCGGCGGGAGTCGGTGCAGCCTCAACTTCTACTGCGTGTCCCAGGTCGCCAACCAGCTTTGCTCGCGTGCCGTTGGCCCGGAGGCTGCCGCGCCAGTCTCTGCGTGCGCCTGAGCGCGCTGGAGCATTTGCGAGGCCAGGGCTGCCGACGGCGAGAGGATACTTTGAGGAACACGGTGCTTCAGTCCCGCCCCCGCTCTCCGCCCGAGCTGGAGGTTGGGGCGCGCTGAGCCGCAGCGCCTGGACAAGTGCGCGGGCCGGAGCCGCCCAGGCCTGCACCCGGGGGCTCGCGGCCGACGCATGCGCACGCGCGGTGGCGGGTCTGCAGGCCCGAAGGCCCGGCCCCTCCCTCAAACCCGGAGCGGGGAAGCCCAGGGGCTGAGAGCCTCGGCCCGGGTCGCAGGAGCTGGGGAGCGGGGACGCGGGCAGGCTAGGTCTTCCCACCTGCCGTCGGGGCTCCTCCCCGCAGCAGCAAAGGGGTCCCAGTGCCCGTGGCAGTGCATGCCCCAGCGGACACGCTGGCTCCCAAATTCAGAGATCAGAGGGGCGGCTGAGAACGGGGCGTCCGCTGTGTGTGACCCCTGACCGTGGAGGAAGGGCGGGAGCCGGGAGTAGGCGGTGGGGCCCGGGGTCAGGCCGCGGTCGTCGGCTCCCGGCAAAGGCGCTCTGGCCGGGGAAGGGGGCGAGGGTGGGCGGCCGGCCTCTGCCGTCGTAGTCATACCTGGGACGTTGAAATGGGCTTTGGGGATAGAGCTCACTCCCAGCGCGCCCCACAGGAGAAGCCCGCAGCTCAGGCCTGGGCCGTGCAGACCGCTGGGCGGGCTCGGGGCCCGAGGAGAGCAACACGGCGCGAGGTCCAGTCGCGAGTAATAACCCCGACAGCACGGCCCCTCGAAGACGTGTTCCGGGCACCGGGGTTGTGAGCGGGGGAGCCTCGGGCCTTGGGCCCGCTTGGCACGGGGCGGGGGCGCCTCCTCCAACTCCTGGAGATCAGGCCCAGACCCCGGGTGTTCTCAGGGGACACACTGTGGACGGTGGACCAGTTCCTAGCGCCGTTTTGTCCCCCATTGCCCCTGCTGCTTGTTAAAAGTATTAGCGACCCCCGTGATGGCAATCCACAATTTTTGGAGGGTGCGGGTGGCATGTACGGACGTGAAGGTCTCTTTGTGAGGCACGTCCACGCACACACAGGGACACTCATTTTGTAAAACCTAGATGGGCGCTGCCACCACCCCTCCATGCCACCCGCGTACCAATCAAGGATGCAGGTTGTAGAAAACACCTGGACGTGTGTGGGCTGCACCTTAAAACAGAATTCACCCAGTAGGCACTCCCAAATCCAAATAAAGTGCGTAGGGTGCTTTGAGACTTGGGGGGAGGGGTGTTAAAAAGTTACTTGTAAACAATACATTTAAGGTTATTTTCAAGTGAATGTTTAAAGTGCTGCCTGCTCCAAGCTCTAATAACACATTAGTGCGATAATAACACTCCTTGCATCTGCCAGGAGCCCTCCAACTGGCTGCCAGAGGTTCCACGAGGTTCGCGGTGGTTGGTGTAGGCGAAGGCTACTAAAAGGGGCGAAAAAGAACCCAAAGCCATGCCTGTGGGGTTTGCCAGCGCCGACCCGCTCCTCGCCAGCGCCCGCGGCCAAGCGGACCCGGCCTTCCGAAGGAGCCATCTTGCGCGCAGCAGCAGCAGCGGCTGAGCCTGAGCCCCTAAACAGCTGCAGAGGTGTGACAGGTTTATTATGCTGGGCCTAGCTCGCTCGCAATTCCTTAAAGACAAAGGGCAGCAGAGAGAGCCCGCGACGGGGCCTGGCCTACCCGGGTTCCACGCACCTCCTGCACAAACTCGGGCAAGATTGCTTTGCCATGGTATGTGAGTTTAACTGAAGGTTTAACTTTCTCAGTTTTTCCTTAAAAATATCAAGGTGGAAGATGTTTTGTAACATTTGAAACCAACAGCCAAAGTCTGGCAGAGCAGGAAAAAATAAGTTTACTGAAATTTAATTGAGATTTAAGATAGAAGAAACCCTGTAATAAGAATTGTCTTGAAGGATGTCCAAATGAATTTCTCTCATAGCACAGAAATAGATAAAAAATGCCGAAGTAAATCGATTCTCCTTTTCTCCTTTTAAACCACATACACCAGGAAGCCAAATGAACTCCCGCTCCTTCCATTACTCAGGGTGCAGGAGCAGTGAGAAGGTTGCAACCAAAAATACTTTTTAGTTTCCTTCAAACATGGATGCTGCCATCCGTTTGGAGAAGTAGAATTCAACATCATGGCTCAACTGGAGCTGCATAAACCCCTGCCTAGAATCTCTCCTGATTCTAGGTGTCCAAACAAGCAACACTGAATTAAACAGGGCCATGGCAAGCCTGAGGGCCCCTGGAATAGTCTCTCCTGGGTGTGGGAAGGGAGGTTCCGGTGGTCAGAGGAGAGGGGGTGCCTGCCCATCAGGGTCAAGGCTAAGAGGAATGTGACTCTTTGTGAGATTTGTTGGAGGATGTGTGTGACAGTGGGTTTGGGAGTTGGGTTTGCAAGTGTTTGTGAGAATGTGTGACTGTGAGATGGCATGTTTGTGGAGTGTATGTGCACTTGTGAATGGATGTGCATGGATGTTTGTGTTCGAGCCAATGTGTGAGTATGTATCTGTGTGTGTGCCCACTATCCCGCCCAGGCTGAGGCCCGGCCTCCCAGCAACCATGTGTTTCCAATTAGCAGCATCCCGCCTGGGAGTGCAGAGAAGGCGAGTCCTGGGACAGCTTCTGAGGAGCGGGTGGGCTAGCTCAGGCCCCCCAGTTCTGCTCCATCGAGGGCGAGGCCGCCCGGCCAGCAAGCTTTCACAGCAACTGGGCAGCCACACAAAGAGCCCTCTCTCCTGCGCCAGTCGTTGGAGACTCGGTCCTCCCCCAGATCATAAACCTGCCTGTGAAGACGTTCAGAAATAGTTTACCCGCACTCACACACACATGTGCAAAGGCTGGAATTCCATTTGCTATAAAGTTTTATTTTATTTTGCTTGGAAGGGGAGTGAGGGGGAGAAGTGTCCTGACCTAATTTGTTCTAGGGCAAAATACTGTATTTCATGTGGAGGTATACACCTGTACATGAATCCTTGCTTGCTGCCTGTGGGTGTCCTGCACATGTGTGCGTCAGCCTACCTGTAGCTGTACACCATACACAGCTCAGGAGCACACACCTGTGGTCTTACCCAGGCCACCTAAATGATGCATGCAAACAAACCAGATCCAGAGATCTGAGGCTGAGCCTTAAACCTTTTTATTATAGCTTCAAATTAACGCTGATGTCGTTCAAGTGCATAGCACAATGTCTGGCATGTATTAGGCACTTAACATAAATGGCTGAATGAATACATTAAACTGAGATTTAAAAAGTGACCTAGTAGTCATAAGAAGAGGCTGCAAATAAGCACTGTGTAAAAGATTCTAGACCACAAGGAAAGGCACAGGCTCAGAGACCTCTAGGTAACTTGGTGGCTTTGCCATGGAATGTTCCAACAGTATTTGCTTACCTTCAAGTTTCTTCTTCTGACCCCCCTCTATTTCTCAAGACTTCTTTTTCAGATGGGTGAGAGCCCTTGGGTTCTAATTATAGTCAGCAGAGACCAGCCAGGGTGTGAATTCCTCCCTTCTGCAGGAACTAGGTTTCCAGAGTGACTTGTCACCAGGAGGGGGAAAGAAATGTCCCAGGCAAAGACTAAGGAGGAGGCTCGCCGGAGCACCCCCGCCCCCCTTAGCCTTGCAGGAGTCCTCCCACCAAGGGCTTTCTCAAAACAGGGCAAGGCCTGACCACAGCGATCTCATTCCAAGGCCTGGATTGTGGGGTTGTTTGGGGACCCCTATAGCCGTGTTCATAACTTGGGAGAAAACATCCACACTGACCCTGTGAATGCTAGTTCACAGAAAGACCATTTTTAATATGAAAAGAGAAAAACAATTTGAAGGCCCCACAATTTGTTGTGTAACAACATAATTTCAAGTAAAGTGAATGTGATTAAAACATCTTGATTTCACAAAGCCATTCAGAGGAGGCTTCGACAAACGCAAAGCGACCCAAACCCTGGAGGGTCACATCCCGGCTGCTACAAACCTCGGCGGGGCGGCCCCGCTCTTGCGGCCGGGACAGCGCAGCGGCAGCAGGGGCCGCAGGGGACCCGCAGATTGGCACGCCGCTCCCCATCCCCGCAGCGCGTCTGCACCGGAGACTCTGCGGGGATTGTAGCCGGAGGGCGGGCCGGGCTCCGAGGCGCTGCTCAGGCATTGGGGTTTGTCCTCATGAGCTCCACGTCGGCGTGCACCATCTCCCTCACCAGCTCCTGCAACACAGGGGTGGGCGTGAGGGAGGAGCTTCTGCCACTCTCTCCTGGTGACACCCCACCCCGGGTGTCGGCCCCAGAGAGGCCTCCGCGTCCCTCGTTCCAGCTCCCCTCACTTCTCCCGCACCCCGCCTTCCGGGCTTTGGGCATCGCAGGCGCCTCAGGCGCCCGACCCTGAGAGCTGCCGCCCTGCAGCCCGGGGCCCCGCAGCGGGCGGCGTGCGCCCTAAGAGATACTCACATCGAAAGCGACCCGGGGCTTCCAGTTCAGCTTCTGTTTCGCTTTGGTGCAGTCGCCCTGCAGAAAGTCCTAGGGAAGAAGAGGGGGAGACGAAGCAGGCGTGGGTCGTGGGGGTGGGGGCAGCAGGTCCCGAGCCCCGGGAACTCCCACCGTTCCGCTCCCTCTGGGCGCACAAGGCTCCGGGTTTCCCTGCTTTCGGTCCCTGCTGTGCGCGTTCAGTTGCGGCTCTCGGCGCCGTAAATCACTAGGTCGCGGTTAAGAATGTGCTGTGCGGACCCGTGAGGACCGTGACCGCGATCCACCCCCAGCTACCTCCACACCTCTTCTCCCCAAGGCGTCCCTTGGGCTCTTAATGCTTTTTTTTTTTTTTTTTTTTTTTTTTTATAACATGAAGTTGTCAGGGACGCTCCTATGAGAACTGTTTGGAATTGCTGCACTTCTCTGGCTAGGAGGGAAGTGAGTAAATCACCAGGCGCCCCTCCCAGCTGCCCGTGTCCCTGCGCCGCTCAGCTCCTGCCGCAGGGCTGGCCGCGCCAAGCGCGCGTCCTACCCAAAGCCACCAGCCCCGCGGGGAAGGGACTCGGGCTGTGGGGCGCGAGGCCCCAGGACTCGGGGACCCCTCTACCTCGGCGGCAGCGTGCGACCCTCTTTCTAACGCGGCCGTGGATGTTTCTTCCCGGGCCGCAGCCAAGCGCGGTTCTTCCTGGGCGGTGGCTTTGGGCTTTTCGTACCCACAGTCAAGTCAGTTCACGTCGCCTCCCGCACACACGCGTTCATAAAACGAAACTGGAGTTTCACGAAGCAATTCTTAGGCTTAGCGTCCAGGAACGCTGTAGACGGTCTATTCTATTCTACCCCTATTCTACTCGGTTCGATTCTGTTCCTAAGAAAATGCCGATCTCGACCCACTTGTACTTCCACGAGCGGAGCTGCAGCCAGCAGCTCTGCAGGACCCCGCACTGCCCGCCACCGTCCCCTCTGGCAGTGCCTTCCTCCTCCCGCTTTCCCCAACTGCTCCACTCGAGGAAACAAGGGCATTTCATCTCCATCGACTTAAGAGGCTTCCCTGGAAGGAAGGCTGGCTAAAAGAAAACCAGCGGAGAAGAACTTAATCCTGCTCTCAGCCCCTACTCACCAATGTCTTTCTTACAGCTCTGTGAAGACTGACTGACATGAAGGTTGAGATGAGAATTTCAAGATGAATTACAAAATAGGAAAGAAGGAAGAAAGGAGGAAAGGAGAAAGGGAGGAAAGAAAGGAGGGAAGAAAGAAAAAAGACTTTGAGATACATAATTGCTAGAAGTGAGATAAATATTTAGCTTTTGCATACACAAATGTACTCGTCAAATAACACATCAGATGTGATTCCTCGAAATAAACCGAACGCAAAGGCCGTACGAAAATAGCCGATCTTTAAAGGTGAGAAATACTCGATCATTCTATTTCAGCTACATACAAATTAAAGAACAGCCTAAAAGGAGTTTCATCGTGTGAAAGTAACAGCCAGTCAAGCTGCCACTGAAAGCCTTTCCTGCTTATTTTCTTCAGACTTCCCTGAAACTTGGCAGGTGGGGAATTTGTTCTAGATTCATGATGGTCGAGAGGGCAGGGGTGGGACCTGCTTTGCCCTGGGTTTGGAGCTCACCTTCTCTGCTGAGCCTTCTAGAGCAGAGGCTGTCTGGATCCTGCTGAATGTCTGCACCGTGGGCTTGCAATGGGGCTGCAGCAGTACACGCAGCGACTCTCGCTGTCGTTCTCATCATCCATCACTACTTTTTCAAACGCTTTGCATTTCGCAATACACTGAAGTACCAGTTTCCTCCCCAGAGTGTTAATAGTACTAAAACAAGTTATTTCTGCTGGCCCTAAAAGTCCATATACAGATTCTTCAGGAAAAGTAGAATACAAAAAGTAGTAATTAGCAATTTAACATAGCGCTACAAGGAAATAGCAATATAAGCAGAAAAACGAAGTAATTTATTTTTCTTTCCCCTCCCTAAATAAACTTGTATATATTTCTACAGGCTTCTATTTTGCTATAAGCGTCACACAAAGATACTCATTCTTTTTCCCCAGAGGAAGCTGTGCAATGTGGAGTCATGCAGCCCATCCCTCCCCTCTCTCAATCCTATAGCGGCTAGACGGTGTGGAGAAACATGGTTATTGTTTAATCACATCACACTGGCTGTAAATCAACCAGCACGACATAGGATGCATTTCATGGCTGTGAACTCATAGTCAGCAAAACCCTAAAACCCAGTTTGGCTTCAAATAATCTTGGTAGGCTTGGGAAATGGAGCTTTGTATTGTAATTATGTTTCCTGTAGTTTTCTACAAGTAGCTCACAATATAAAAACAACCAGGGAACTACAATTAAGGAAAAAGAAAAATGTTTTTCAAAGGCTTAGAAACAGACCTTGCTACCATACACTGTAAAAGTATTTCATTGAAACCAGAGACGCACCCAGTTAAACTTCTCAATTTAGTTTTGAGCCTAGCTCCAATACTGCAGTCTAGCTGCTTCCTTTAACCTTCTGCCAAGGCTCTGTCTCCCTGAAATTTAATTAGACCAAGAGACCTTGGGAAGAAAAAGGATGAGGTCCCCTCAGAACAAAACATTGGCTCTCTATGCCAGCTGTTCCTAGGCTGACATCTGGACTGGGCAGTAAGCTTATGTTCCAATCAACTTTTAAGGAAAGACTACGAGCATCCCAGCTTGTTTTACACTTAACTGTTCCTGAAGGAATTTCTTACTTCTTCCCATTGTGTCATTTATAGAAAAGATATAGTCAATGGTTCATCCTGCAAGGTTCTAGGCACAGGACATACTTAAAGGGTGGCGTGGGGAGGGCCTGTGTGGGAAAGCGCACACAGCTCTAGAAGGAGAGCAAGGATGTGGATTCCCTTCCTTAAATAAGGCTTCCTCTGGGCTGAGAAGGAATTAGGTGGTGGCAAATGCTCATACAACGGGGTCCAAACTGCTGTGCTCAGATACAGAACTGTGAGGAGTGAGAGGGGAGCGTGGGCCATGATACACGTCCCTTTAATCTTTACCTCCCTCTTAAAGATTTTTGAACTTCCACAAATCCCCTCCAATAGGGTATAATCAGCTCCTAAGGACAAGAGAGAAGAATGAGCTTATCTACTGTGCTCTTTTCTTCTTTTTTGACAGTTCGTTTCCTTCATTATACATATGCTTACAGCCTTAGTATGACAATGGGGGCAAAAGCTGAATTAAAGTGATGATTTTATGTACAGCTTCCCAAAAGGACTTCCACCAGTGCAACTGGGTGGTCTGGAGCTTTTCTTGAAAAAAGAGAAAATAAAGCTTTGAGAAAAATTTAAAGTATTTCTATGTGAATATGACATTTCCTGAACTCTGGCTTCTGGTGTCTTCACTGTTTTCATTGCTATTCCTTAGGTGAACTATACGGTTTCAATATGTAATTTATAATTGTCAAATTCAATTAGGTTTCACTGAGCATTTCACAGCAGCAAAACAGCAGGAGCAATGTCTCCGTCCACACAGCCCTCCAGATTTCTGACTCACGGACTGTGTGTATTCATTTGACCTTCGGGAGTTGTCCTTTAGCTGTACCATCCAGGCATACATTTACAGAGCTGCAAACAGCAGCATGGAGGAGGGCATGTTTGGCTGCAGCCATTTTTTAGGCTTTCCTGGCTTACGTTCTTGTTAAAGTGAACTGATAAAGCGCCAGACCAAATGCTGGAAAAGTCATTAAGCCTGTTTCTGAGCCCACAGTAGTTAACGCAAACTCCAGAAAAGGAGAGACCATAGTGTGCCATTATCTTCTACCCTAACGACAGGTCCCTTTCCTCAGATCTCTCCCATCTAGATAACAACGCAGCTTTAAAATCACACTGGTTAGTTTTCATTCCTTCCCCCGATGTTATTTTGATCCTTCTTTAACACATTTATTGCCTGGGATCCTCCCACCTCCATATCACTTTCTCTAAAACCATTGTGGGGAATGCTATTCAACAGACTGTATCACATAGGATGATTTTTTGAGGTTCACAGTCTCATTTCATTTTCTCCCCTTTTCACTGAGTTTGCTTTGGGAAAACTTTAATATTTAGTTCAAACTAGGTGTTGGATGCCACATTTCCTCAACAGGTCTGCTTATAAGGTTTGCAAAGAACATCTGTTTAGGTGGAGAAATATTCTAAGAGTATGAGATCTTTTGGCAGATTATTGTTAAATTTCTAATGTACATCTTGGAAGAAATTGACTCTTGATGCCCTAAATAGGAGAAGATGTATGGACAGGGATGTTAATAAGGAAAGCCGAGACTGATGAAAGCCTTGGCGAAATATCTTCAGGAATTTAAGATACAGAGCTGTGAGGGGCGCTTAATATTCTTTTTTTCCCTTCTACTTTTCTTAGAAAAGCAAAATTGAGGAATAGCTCAGGTTCCAAGGGAATAAAAGAATGCCAGTGAATTTGGTTCTTGATCCAACTTTCTGCTAGTGTAGAGTGAATAGGAAAGCTTGACTCTTGGGGCAATGTTTCTTTTTCAGAAAGGCAGAGCTGCTAAACAACAACAAAAAGCCTCAGGAAAAAGCTCTCAAGTCTCACAGAGTATCCTAGTCAAGATTCCAGATAGTTGAGAATAAGACTGGGAAATAACAAAAAATGAATTCTGAAAGATCCCCCAGAAAATTTGCAATATACGACATCTCTTCTTGGGTGTAGCTTGAAGCCTTACATGCTCACGAATTTATCCTTTGGTTTAATCCTTCCCAAAGAGGGAGCGAATGTCCGAGCAGTAAGAAATGCTGTGGTGTTAACAGCGGTAATGAACATTTCCCCTCTGTTCCCTTACTGCTGTCTATCCACACAAACTGAAGTGGAAGTCAGACCTCTCCTTTCATGACAAGGGGCAATAAGAGAGGAGAAGAAAACAGCAGGCGGTCCTGTCTGCTCAGGAAGCGGGACTCGGTGGGACTGTCCGTAGGCAGAGCTCAAACAATGCTCAGGCAGCCTCAGGGAAATGGAGTCAGTCAGCACTGGCCCGAGGAGGGTGCAGGCAGTGGAGAGGAAGTGGCAGAGGGAGGAGCAGGCCCTGCACCATGGCCTCGTCCGTGGCCACCCTTATGGAGGCTGCCGTGTGGCAATCAGCGACGGTGTAGACTTGGAATAAAACCACCACTGGACACTCCCACTGTCGCCACTGTCACCTCTGCTGGGAGCCTCCTTAGATGACTCCGGACGTGCGGTCCAGTCCTCCTGCATGGTGCCTAATGGGCACTTTAAAATCCTCTGACCACCCCTCTCGCCGATCCCACTTTTCTGATGGGATCTCGGTAGAATTTGTCATTTGGGATCAGCGGCTGTTAAGCACTACTAAACAAATGGAAAGAAATGCATCCATCCGTATGCATGCCCCAGAAACCAGCGACAAAGTCCGGCTAGTACAGTAGAGCTTTCGTGGAAAGTAAATGAGAACGTGGTCTTCATTATATGCCTACTTGTCAATAAAGCTTAGGGTGGTAAAAAAAGTTACAGGTGTTCACTTCAGGAAAGGAGAACTTAATGGCATGTATAGTGCAACCTACATATAAATGGATCTTTTTTCATTTATATTTTAAAAATATGGTTGACATAGTTGACATAAAACAAGAATTGTAGTTAAGCAAAAAGGGCTCATAAGCTACACAGACAACATAATTATTTAGGAGAAATACAGGATTTAAGCAAGTTAACTTCCTTTTAAACAAAGTTTTAAAACATATTCTGGAGAAAGCCCTTTCTAGCAGACATGCTGGAGATGTGTGGAGATGAGTGCGGCGGTCCTCTTTCCTCCATGGGACGAACCGCATGTGGCCTATGCAGTTTATGCCACCCCAAAGCTTGTTCCTTTCCCCAGACCAGGCGGTTGCCCTGGCTGTGTCCGCCTGCCCATTGGCTGCCTGGCCTTTGACTGGGACAGAGGAGCATGCTCCCCACCTCCTGAGTGGGGCCCAGCCCAGGAACATGCCCACTGTCTGCCCTGTCCAGCCCTGTGCAACTTTGAGGCCTTCCCCGTTCAACCAGGCAGCAGTCTGAGCCAGCTGAGCAGAGGAAAGCACTTCTCAGAGGCTGCGCTGGGAAGCTTTTGGGGAGCTGCCTACTCATAGGTAGGTGTCTAACAGGTTTCTTTAAATGAAATAACCATATAAGACTTTGGGGATGTCATCTTGCATCATACCTATTTACAAGGTGCTGCGTCTGTCTGTACCTGTTCTACATCTGAATTGCAATCGTGGAGTTAATTTTTTGTCAGCTTTATTTCTTGATCCGGTGCTTACAGTAGCATCAGCCTGGGGAAAGCTAGATTAATGACTGTAACTAGAGCCCTCTTGGTTCCGGTTAGTTCACTGATCTCCACTCTGACGAGCTGAGATGGGGGGTGGCTGACTCATAGTTGTGATGCGGGGGCCATTTAATGAAAAGGAGATAAGGTTGTCAGTGACCTCAGCATTCCAGGCTTCAAAGCCAGCACCATGTTGGTCGGAAATTACTGGTTACTGTTAATAACTGGATCTAGGGTGTAAAGATTTACCCATGCTGGAAGGAGGTGGCAAAACCCCGAGGACAGGAGATAAAGCGCCTTTGAGTGGACCGATTAGGGACTCTTGTGACATCGCTGGCAAGTGGCACCCTGGATACAAGAGGAAGGCCGCTGTGCTCTTGCCACTTAGGGCTTTCTACCCTCAAAGCGCTTTATAGACATCAGCTAATTAAACCACAAAACAATCACATCCAAAATGCAACTTAAGAGATTTTGTATCTGTTGCAGGTGGCCTCTTTCCTAGAGATGAAAGTTCTGTGCAAAGCAAAGTATCTCGGAGGTAAAAGCTAAAGTACTTGTCATCTGGCTTATCTTTACCCCGCACCTTCTCATCTAGGAATGCCTACCTAGGCCACAGGGGATCCTGAATTGCATAAGAGGAAGGTAATTTTCCTTAAGCTTGTTTCCTTCTAGTTTGTTAGGAAATCTACCCACCTCTTAGAAATGTCCCCCCCTCCGCCCCACCACCACTGCTTCGGACATGAGTACTACACAGTACAATGTAGATGGGGTTTTTTTCCTTTGTGGTTTTTCTCAATGTATACAGTATATTAAGTCCTCCAATTCAACACACCTCACTTCAATAATCCTTCCTTCCTCCCTCCCTCCCTCACTCCCCTTCCTCCTTCTCCCCAATCCAAATATAAATAACGTAACAGGGTCATTCAAACAGGGTCTATCAAACATATACCCACAGGCTCCTCCAAATATTCATTCCCTCAGCCACTTCTTAAGCAACTCAAGGCCTAGCCAAACACCTGACCACATCCAGATTCTTGCTTTTTGGCCATTTCTCTGGGGACTTTTATATTGGAGAAAAGATTAAGACAATTACTGTGATATCTGTTAGCAAATTTTTGGAGAGGTATGGAGAGGAGATGAGCATGATGACAACTCTTTAGGTTTACTATAATTCTGTTATCACTCATTTGGCCACCCATCATCACAGGAAGGCTCAGAGGGTTTTGTCAGGTGTCTATACTACATGGTCACCTGGCATTCCTTCTTTACATCTTCATGAGAGGAACAAAGTCCTATACCGAAATGTATCTGCAGAGGTATTTCAGCCAAGTACTTGAGAATGTCACAAAGTCATCTAGTGGTCAGGTTCTGCCATTCCTAGTCCAGCAGTCACAACACTCAATAGGACAAAACCCTCTGTAGAATGTGTTGTAAACAATACACTTTACACACATTAATTTGAGTGGCAAAGAGGTCTCTAAGTAATAGATGGTATCAACACACAGAAATATCAACTTAATGCTGGATGGAAACTGACACAGAAGAGTCCATATTGTACATATTGTATGATTTGCTGTATGTGAGGTCCCAGAAGAGGCATCCATGGTTATAGAAACGAGACTGGAGGACAGGGGAGGAGTACTGACTGGGAAGGTTCACCAAGGAACTTTCTGGAGTGAGGAAATGCTCCTTATATGAATAGGAGTGTCGGTTACAAGAGTGTGTGCGTTTGTCAGAACAGATCAAACTGCAGTTCAACATTTGTGCATTTCACAGTATATAGATTTTATCTCAACACAAAAACGTGGCCAGGCATGATAGCTCATGCCTGTAATCCCAGTGCTTTGAGAGGCTGAGGTAGGAGGACTGCTTGAGGCCAGAAGTTTGAGACCAGCCTGGGCAGTATGGCAGGACCCTGTCTCTACAAAAAACTTTAAAAAATTAGCTGGGTGTGGTGGCACTTGCCTGTGGTCCCAGCTACTTGGGAGGCTGAGGTGGGAGGACTGCTTGAGCCCAGGAGTTTGAGGCTGCAGTGAGCTATGATTACACCACTGTACTCCAGCCTAGGTGACAGAATGAGACTTCGCCTCTAAAGGAAGAAAAATTCGTGGACACAACCAACATGGCGGCATTGCTGGAGAGACCTGGAATCACAACGTGGCTCAACCACTTAACTCTTTCTTAATAACTCTGAGATTCAGGTTTTAAATCTGTAAAACGGGGACAGCAAGGCTTGCAAAGTTGTGTGAGAATTCAAAATTGCACAGCTGCTTTTAACAGCTAGAACCATTTCTAATTCATCCTATACAGGCTTTCCATTGAGGCTATTATTTATCACTAAAATGTAGGAAAAACGATTCTTTTCATTTCTTGCAGTAACATCATGGATGAAGATGTAATATTTTTAAGTGGGCTGTTTTATAGTTTTTCTTTGATACTTACATGCAACTTTTACCCTGCACCCCAACCCTTCCTCTAATTTTAGATAATCATTTTCTGAATAGCTGTAACAGAGTGTAGAAGATTTTGTACTCTGCTGTCCCTCAATTTCTGCAAACATTTCACAGTCTCTTGCTTGCTTGTTGCCACATATTTACTGCTTTAAGCCTTGGAGAAGCAAACGTGGACAAGAGAAGGCCGTGGCTGTCATGAAGCCCATGTTCTAGGGTCTGGCAGCACAAGAGTTGGCGGAGACCTGAGTTTCGGCTGATGGGAGTGCGAGGGAGCGACTGCAGAGGGGGCTGGCTTGTTGGAGGGCGGGAGGGCACTCTGTACTGGCTGGGCGGGGAAGGCCTTCCACAGAGGTCACTGGATCAGAGATCTGCACAATGTGCACGGGCCGGTCACAGAAAGATCTGGGGTGTGAGGGTCTCTTGGGGACACTGCAGGTAAAAAGGCCTTAAGGGAACCCCGGAGAGAAGGCTGCTGTGACTGGGCATGGGGAGTGACGGGGAGAGGAGCCCATGACCACGAGGCTGGGAGGGACACAGAGGCAGGCACTGTTGGCCTCCCGGGTGGTTTCTGCCATGGAGCCCAGGCCTTTCCCAGCAAAGCCACGTGGTCACAAGGCTCTGCTGTCTGGTCACAGTGACTGCCTTGGAGTATCTACCGCCTGCAGGCTGTGGCTGGAGGTTGGAAAGCTGGCTACCTCAACCTGATGGAGCTTACAATTCTGACTTTCTGGTGCCAATTTTTGAAAGTATGGAACTGACTATAAACTGTCATTTAGCTGTGTGTCTTTTTAAAAAGGTGGACGAGTCGTTCTTGCCCTGCATGGCCCAACTCTAATACATAATCCCTCTTCCCCTGGAAAATCTGCCACTCTTTGATGTGCTTGGTCCACCTAACCTAAAAGCACCTGGCGACTCAGGTGCTGGCCACTGCAGCGGGACTGCACCCAGCTGGCCCTGAAAGACATGGAGACTAGGGATCACCAGAGGCAGTAACCTGGCCATCCTATTCCAGCACCTGCTAGGGTGTGCTGTGATAGGGCTGTCCCTCTTCTGGCCAAATGAGGACACGCTCAGCCTCTGAAGGCTACTGAGATGCCGCTCCACCCTTCATTTCCTCCTGCCTGAAGTGAAGCTGTGACCCTGAGCTCCCCTTGCTGGTTAAAGGCCTTCTCCTTTCCCAGTAGCTCTCAAGAGGATGAGGCACAGCACTGAAACCTGTCTGTGTTTTGAAAACATTTTTACCATACTCTTGTGTGTATGTGTTTTTCTCTGTCTCTCTCTGGGTGTGTCTCTCTGTGTCCATGTGCACTATGTAAAAGTCCACTCGTTTACAGTGAGAACCCGCTCACTTTGAACTCCATCCTTTACCGGCCCAGCACATCCAATATGGAGTCTGGGCTTTGCTTAGAGCCACAGTGGGGTTTTAAGTGCTGGGGGCATATGCTGCGATGCATGAGTTCAAAGATGCCTGCAGATGCTGCCTGTGGGTTAGAAAGAGGGGCAAGAGCAGGGGAGAGACCAGCTAAGAGACTCCAGTCACAGATGTGGTGAGAGACGATGGTGGCCTGGACACGAGGGGTGGGGAGGGGACATAGCGACGGAAAGGCGTGGGTGAACTTGAGATGATCTTGGAGAAAGAGCAGAAAAGGCCTCCCTGGGGTTGGAGGCGGTGGTGGGGGAAAGAGGACTGACAGAGAACTCCTAGGATTTTCATCTGAATGAGAACGTTTTTATTGCTTTCAAAGACATTCTACGAATCAACAATGCCAGAAGCGAAGTTCTCCTAGTGGAGTCTGCGTGTGCCTCTCACCACAGCCCTGCCAGCATTACGTGTCATCTCCTTTTTCACGATTTCAAGATTAGAGAACAGGGACTCTTCCAAAAGATTACTTCTAGAGAATCACCTGTGATCTCTCATATCATTCCATGGAGCACGCCTTCTTGTTTTGATCCTGATTTGAGGCCAAAGCCTCTCTGCTGAGCAAGTCTGCTTAGCTCTGGGAAAGGGGCTCCGTTTCACATGTCCTGGCTATGCTCCTGTGAAAGGCAGGCTGAGGGGAAACAGCTTGTCTTCTTCCGTGACCCTGGTCCACGGGACAGGCGAGGAAAGGGTTAAGGCAAGCTGTGTCCACTGCGCAACCAACATGGCCCACTTTCATCCTCCGGCTGCAGCAGGAGGAAGTCCGAGAGGGGGCCTTTCACATGACATCATAAAAGCCTGATTTATCGCCGGCCACCAAACATCTAGAAAATCATAACATCCTTTCAGGAAAATGCAGTGGAAAATAATCAGGCTGACTTTGATGGGAGCTTTGGTGGGGACTCCGAGGGCGACACTGTGCGGCGACCCTTGGCAGGTGCTTTGTTTGCCGTCGGGGCCAGCCTCACTGACAAGGCTGAGGGTCTGTGCTGTGCAAAGCCCACCGGGGGGTGTGGCCCTCAAGTCTGCAGATGCAAACGAGAGCCTGGTTCATACTCTGCCAACTTGCCTAAAATGATACTGCGGTGGATGTGAAGGCGCTTTGGAAAAGACAGCTCTATCCAAATGTGAGAAATTACTGATTACAGCCTTGTACATAACCCACAGCCACTCCAGGCAAGCAGGGCCCAGCCTCGGCACCTCCAGCACTGCGTCTGGGAGCTGCTCTTCTCTGCTCTCAGCTGGGGCTATCTTTAGGACACTACTGTTTGGTTAGAGCCCTTTCCTCACAAGGCACTTTTCCTACGTCGCATTTCCAGAGTAACCTGCCACCGTGGCAGCCCTCCTCATCACAAAGAGGACTAGGAGACGACAGAAAAGAGACATTCCCAGAATGTCAGCGGAAATAGAAATAAAGGGATGAGATCCGCGTGCCACGAGGAATCTGTTCCAGGAATGTCTGCATCTCTTCGGTGCTTCTCTTGCTCAGTAATTTGATGAAACCACCAGCAGGAACCTCTTCTTTGATGTGCACAACATGCTCTCCAAATAAACACAGGAAAGAGGGACAAGGGTGGCCTAGAGTGTGGGATAGTTCTAGAAATCTGGCCACATCAATTCTAAAAAGCCTGTTGGCGTAGAAAGTAGGCCCATCTTTGCAAAGTAATGCCCACTCTGAAGGTCTTGGGATTCCTGAGTTTGGAGAAGACAGACAATATAAAGATTGAGCCAGGGCTGACAAAGGGCTAGCCTGAGGCTGAAGTTGGGCAAAAATCAACCCTTGGACTCAATTCAAAGTTACTTTCACTTCATTTAACTGTTATACAAGGAAGCGTGCAGCATGAAGATCACTCACAAGATGATCAAGAGACTCATGTGAGAACACAGCCACCAACACCTCTCTGGCCGTCCTGAAGGTGCCTGGAAGGTTGGTGCTGATGCGGCCCCCATGGAGGAACGGGCTCCCATGGAGGGATGAGCCCCCAGGATGGAGAGCTCAGGGCCTAGCCTGACACCATGAGCCTAGGATTGGGGGCACTGGCTGCCACACAGGCAGCCCTTACCACGCTACGGTTATGTCCTTGCAAGTTTGATTCTTACCCGTACCAGTGGGCCCCGGAAGGTCTGCCCATGCCTCACCTGCCCAAGGTTCTGTGCAGGAATGGGAATGGCGTGGAAGGCAGCAGGGAGGAGAGGTGAGGCCTAGGCCTGGCCCTGTAGCACAAGCTCTGAACCTGGGCTTGCCTCACCTGCACACGGGGGATCGCTGGGACCGGAAGAACTCTAACGGCCCCTCTCCAAGCTACTGCTTGCCATTCTGCCAGGCCTGCTGGTGCTCGCATAACACCTTGAGACTGCTTCTTGCCTTGGGGACCCCGCACTGTGCCTCCTAGCCCAGCGCCAGGCATGGCTCCAGGCAGCTGTGGCAGCAGAGTGGTAGGACTGAAGGTGTCCCAGCTGGGCTCCATCTGGCTCGTTGTCTGCACTGAGTCTGAGTCAAGCCAGGTGTCTGGGGGAGCTGGGTGACTCAGCAGATTGTCAGGTGGCAAAGGGTGGAGAGGCCTCCCTTGGCCCTGGTCTCCCTGCACCTCTGCCCAGTAAGGCCTTTCCAGGCATCTCTCCAGGCCCAGGAGCCCCGCAGCTGGGCATGTGCTTCCCGGCCGGCCCCGCAGACAGCACTTGTGAGGAGGCAGGTGGCCTGGAGGGCAGAGGTCTGACTCAGTTCTGGTGTGCTGAACAAGGCCCCGAGGAAACTACTGCTTCAAACTCTCCCCCGTGAAGGCACGGCTGGACTTCCGGGGAGCTGTCACCTGTGCCAAGTCAGGCTCTCTGGGTGCTTATGCTCTCTCGTGGCTATAAAGCGGACACTTGTGGCACCTTATTGCCCTGGGTGGAGCAGGTCACTGAAGCACTTGCATCACACATAAATAATGGCACAAGGGGAAGCACGTTCCGCACCAGCACAGATCATAACCAAATGCCTGACCTACTGCAGACTGTTGTGGGGACAGAGGCCTCCATGCAGAAGGCTCCCAAGGGGAGTTCCCTCTGCAGTGGGCCAGTCAGTCCCTGCACTGGCTGTTCAGAATGGGTTTTTTACCAGTTTAGACAAGGGTTCCCCGAGGGCCCTTAGACCAGCAGCAACATGCCCCCTGTCCTTCAGCCTTCTAACAGTCCTACGAGGTAGGCAAGGAAACGGCGGTGCTGGTAAGTGGGTAACTTGCCGTGTGCCACTCGAGGTGGATCCTGGATTCAAACCCAGGCTTATCTGACTCCAAAGACTAGGTTACTAGCCCATTAACCTAGACCACCTCCCCTGAGGGTCTTCTCTCTTTAGTTATGTGTGCTGACACTTGGTAACAATAAATGCAAAGCCATGCGTTCACCACCAGGTAGAGGCTGAGGTGTGTAAAGAAAGCATTTGCCAACAACACGGACAGAAGAGAGAGAATGTGCTTCTGCGCTACAGGGGTCCAGATTAGATTAGAGCAGAGACAGGAATGGAACCTAAGAGTTAGAAACAAAGGTGGGGGGCATGAGAGACACCAGGCAGAAATGAGCATGGTCTCTTCATGTCAAAGCCCCACACTAAAAAAGCCTGATGCCGCCCTGGGTTTAGAGCAAAACAAAAATTCCACTGCTTTTCTCCAGCTGGAGATGAATGGTTTCACAGAGGGAACCCTGGCTGAAGAAAAAGCATCTTTGATTTGGTTAATTAACGTAGCTTTCTCGAAAACACTGATCAGCTCCTCGAGTGCCAGCAGGATGGCCATGATCCTGAACTTTATACTTATGAGCAGCTTAAACACAGGCCACTGGCTGTGTGCCCATGGATTCATTCTATGCCCCACCCCCCCAACCCCCGACACTATGAGGCCGTGAGACTCCCAGACTTCCTCAGGCAGGACTGGGCTCTGGGGGGCATTATTCAAGGAAGTATTGCCTTTGAGGATGGCAAGGAACACTCAGAGCCACCTGACATGGGAACTCTGGGGTTTGGGATACTACCAAGGGACCTTTGCTTGGTATCTGTTCCCTTCAGAGCACTCTTTTCTATGAAAGGAACCCAAGTCACAGAATTAGAAAGAACTCTCTGGGTCTTATTAATGCTACCACCATGACTACTAACAGAAACACAAATATTCCTTAGGGTGTGGAGACTGAGGGAGACCATGTTTTCAGGTCAATGGGACCTGCATGAGTAGAGTGAGTCTGGAGGTACATAAAGACTTTATCTACAACTACTTAGCTCATGAGTCTGGATAGTGAGAGTGCAGAAAGAAAGAGACACCTTGAAATCTTCTTATTCCATCCTGGCCAACATTCGTTCATACATGCAGTCAGCCCAGAAGCTCAAGGTCAGTGATGGAGACTGACATAGATGGTGATCTCCGACAGGTACCTGTGTCTGCGGCAGGCAACAAGGGCAGGCTAGCAGATAAGGAGGTGGGTGCCTGTGGATACGGGGAGAGGGCTCAGGCTTGAAGAGGAGCAGGAGCGGAGGAGAGAGGGCTGTGTGGTGGCCTCCACAACGCACCATGTTAAGGATGCCACTGAGGCACTTGCAGAAACAGATACTGGGTGACGTGCCTAGCATTTTCCCACTGGGGGAAGTGGAAGGATTAAGCTACCTTCACAGTGGGACGCAGGAGGCGCTCACAGGCCAGTGAAGTGAGGGCTCTTGGGAAATACTTCCCAGAGAAGATATTCCCTGAGCTGGGTTGTGAGGAACGAGCAGAAGGTAGGGAGACGAAGTGCAAGGCTAACAGTCCAGATGCAGACAGCTGTTCAAGGACCCAGTGGTGTTAGAGAACCTCCCAGAACTGCCCCGTTTAGTACGGCTGGGGGCCAAGTGGAACTCTCTCGTTTGCTGAATGTGGACCCCCCAGGTGCAAAGCAGTCATCGCCAGCTGAGCATGAGCTTTGGAGTCAGATCCAAGCTGAGGCCGGGCACGGTGGCTCATGCCTGTAATCCCAGCACCTGGGAGGCCAAGGCAGGTGGATTGCTTGAGCTCACAAGTTCGAGATTAGCCTGGGCAATATGGTGAAAGCCCATCTCTACAAAAACCAGCCGGGTGTGGTGGTGCATGCCTGTAGGCTCAGCTACTTGGGAAGCTGAGGTAGGAGGATGGCTTGAGTCCGGGAGACAGAGGCTGCAGTGAGCCAAGATCATACCACTGCACTCCAGCCTGGGTGATAGAGCCAGACCTTGTCTCAAAACAAAACAAAACAAAATGAAAACACAGATCCAAGCTGAATTCCAGTTCTGCCACTTACTTCCTGGATGCCCTGAACCTCACTGGGCCTAGGTTCCATGATGTATAAGCCTGTTGAATGATATCGACCAATGCTAAAGATCAGAGATAAAATCAGTGCCTGATGTTGGGTAAGTGCCCGACAGACAGCAGCTCCTGCCACTGCACAGTCAGTGACGGCTCTACTGGGGCCCAGGGGATGCAGTTAGACCCCAGAAGGATGTACCAGTCCATGGCACCAGCTCGGCAGCACTGTTGCCCAAGGCTCCCCCACATCACTCTTCAGTTCTAGCAATCTGCTGCCCTCCTCATGCAGTTGGTTCCCGACAGCCTGGAATATGCTTCCTCTTCTTCACTGAAACTGTGCCCGTGGAGAAGCACATGGGATTTAGGGTCACAGAGACTTAGGTTGACACTAGATTCACCACGTTTGAGGTGGCTTGGTGTCCTCATCCTCAGGCATGCCACACCTGCAGGTGTGTTATGCACCTGTCACGGGGTAAGGCCTTCCACGTATGCTCGCTCTCCTCCTGCCTCAGGTCCCTCTTTAAGTGTTGGCCACTCCCCAGCCTTGAACCTCCCTGACCTCTCTGCTGAGCGGCTCTCTGAGGCTATCCCATGCCCGTGGAACATGCTGGATGTGGCTGTGCCTTCTAGGTGCCCGTTTTGGAGAGAATACATTTCTTATAAACAGCAGGGCAGGCTGTCTCAGGTGTGGTTCCAGAGCACATGGAATGTGCCCTTGCATCCCCACAGCGCAGGCCCAGGGCTGCCGACACAGCAGCCAACCAGACACACGGGGAGCTCATGTTCTACTGTGGGGGCACTGTCAGTAAACAGGCAATCAAGGAAACAATCAGGTGGTTACAAGGCCTCTGATAAAAAGAAAATTGGGTAATGGGGGGGGTCACGAATGCCAACACGGTACTGTTTAGGCAGAGTTATGATTGACAGTGGGGGCTGCCCTGGGTAAAGCTTGAGGTGGAGGGAGCAGGCTGGGCTAGGGCCCTGAAGGGCCGGCTGGTTAGAAACCCTGAAGTCCAGAGTGACCCCATGGGGCTGGGGTCAGGGAAGCTGTTACAGGTGGCGTTGGCTCCACAGCTGTGAGAATTATTTCTGGCTTCCTCAGGAAAGATCCCTGTATATATTTCTTCCTCTGGGTGCTCATTAGACCCTTTGCCTGCAGATGGTCTTAGGAGTTCCCTTGGGGAAACTGGTGGCTACTCACATGCTGGAGATTGGACTGGACTCATTTTGGGACATCCTGAGACATGCTGTCATTCAGGGGCTTCTGGGGCTCAGTGAGGTCCTCATCCATTCCTGTGCACCCTGGAGGTCCTGAAGGATGTAATTCAGGGGCTAGTCTTGTGTTCCTCAGGGACAATCTATGTCACTGTCACGTTAGTGAAGATAAATGGAGAGAAATATGCCCTGCCAGCTGGTGGCACTCAGAAAGTGCCATGGAGCAGCACAGCCTGCGTCTCAGAATGGACAGGAAAAAAGCTTTATCTTCTTCCTGTCAAAGGAGGGAAATACCTTGTGGAAGGTCAGGGTGCCGTGCACCTGGCAAGTGCCTGCCTGACCCCAGCCTGTGGCAGAACCTGAAGGGCCACTGCGATCTTTATCAGGTGACTCAGTGCTTAGCACTGGGGAAGGGCGGAGCATGGAGCAGGCACAGAAGGTCCCGTGGAGAGGCCCTGAGCAGCCCAGACAGGAGCGCTCCATTCTGCTGCTCAAGGCATTACCTCCAGCAGTCAGGCGCGTACAGCTCGCGTCTCTCGGATGATTTCTCTCTCTCTCTCTCTCTCTCTCTCTCTTTTCTATCCCTCTTCTCTCTCCCTTTCCTTCTTCAGGATTTAATTAATTGAAAGTCAGGTTTTTAAATATTGGTCAGCCTCCTGTTGGATATTTGGGGTCTGCCCTGGGGCTCCCCCACGCATCTCTCTGACTTACCTTCATGAAAGGTGAAGCGGAAATACCCCAACAACTCGGCACACTTCTTTTGTCCCAAACAGTGGAAGCACACTAGGAAGTTCTCAGAACCCCGAAGAAGGCCCTCGTTTCACCTGCTCCTTCAGGATGCCCCTGTCCTTTCCTACTGGCCCCTGGCTCAGAAAGATCGCCCTGCGTAGCACTCTCCTTTTCATCCTGTCCTCGCTCACTTGGAACCCTGCTCTTCAGAAACTAAGGGGAGCGCAGCAAGCCTCAATTCTCTTGAAATCTGGGCAGTTTCCATCTTTTTTTTTTTTTTTTTTTTTTTTTAAGAAAAAAATAGAGTCTCACTCTATCGCCCAGGCTGGAGTGCAGTGGTGTGATCTCGGCTCACTGCAACCTCCACCTCCCAGGTTCAAGAGATTCTCCTGCCTCAGGTTCCCAAGCAGCTGGGACTACAGGAATGTGCCACCACGCCCGGCTAATATTTTTGTGTCTTTAGTAGAGACAGGGTTTCACCATGTTGGTCAGGCTAGTCTCAAACTCCTGACCTCAAATGATCGGCCCACCTCGGCCTCCCAAAATGCTGGGATTACAGGCGTGAGCCACCACACCCGGCCAGTTTCCGTCTTTAAACCTACCCCAAAGGTTCTATAACTGTTGCTCAGATTTGTCTGAAAATTTTGGTTTTGTCAGGGAGAAAATAAATTTCTCCTTCAAAATCTCCACCTTCCCCCTAAGGTGAAGGTCAACCTGGTCTTTGTCCTCTAGGTTGGAGAACGGGGTTCCATGGTGACCATCGTCCTGAGTCCTTATGCATAACAGACGTGGAGTAATATTTTGACTTTATAAAGCCTGCTTCATGATGGCTTCTTGTGTCTTTGTGAATAGCACAGGTGGGCAGCTGTGCTGGTCCCATGTGGGCGACAGGCAAGCTGGGCCTGGACGGTCTGTCTCTCCAAGTCCAACAGGAAGATCAGGATGGGCCTCGGATCTCTGCTCCTAAAGCCGGGCCCCACGAAGCCCCTTCCCTTTACTCCTTATGGAGTCCCCTTCCTCACTGAGTTTTTTCCCCTATTTTAAAATAGCTCTTCACAGAGAATCTTTGGGGGCTTTTAAACAGCCCTGGTCTTAGCAGAGTTAACACAACCACATCATGAGGGATCTGCTGACGAGGGGGGCATCCTGCAGAGCCGGTCCATACTTCCTTTTATTTTCTTATCCTGAGTCTCTTCCCCTGAGTCTCCCCAGAGAAACTGGTGATTCTCAACACATCCTGTGGAGTTTGTGAAAAGTGGAGCTTGGTGAGGTCCTCAGCCAGGTGAGATGTGCCGGAATCTCCAAGGGTGCCCTCATAGAAGGTGTCTGAGGATTGATTCACCAGACCAGACAAGTGTGGGGGGCAGGGACAGCATCTCACTCAGCTTGGTGTCCCTGAGACCCAGCCCATTTGGCAGGACACACAGGCATTGTAAGGAAATGCAATTTCCTTACGCCTTCCTGAAAACGAACCCTGACTGCCCACGGGGCAGCTGAGCCCCCGAGGCTCTGTTGCTGCAACTGTGCTCATCTCCAGGTGGCTGTCAAGGTGCTCATGCCTTCCTCGGCTCCCATGGCATAAATGAGGCAAGGAGAGCCTTCGAGAGTCCTTTTAGTAGAGTAGGATGTGGTTACCAGGGCCTTAGGCAGTTGTGGGGATGCTGGTCAAAGGATACACACCTATAGCTAGGTGGGGACAGCGGAAGTTCAGAATCAGCAGATGCATAGAGACAGGGGTGGAGAGGTGACCACCTGGGCCACGGTGGGGGGGACACTGGGGACTGCTAATGGTTATGGAGTTTTTGCCTCCGGTGATGAAAATGCCCTAGAGTTGATTGTGGTGATGGCTGCACACTGAGCAGACTAAAACCCATTGATCATATACTTTAAGTGGGTGAACTGTATGATGTGTGAATTATACCTCAATAAAATTGTTTAAAAATTAAAAAAAGTTGAAAGTCTCTTCCCAGCTCCCCTCCCCTCTAAAAAAAAAGTCCTTTTAAAAACCCTGAGAGGAAACAAAGGAGCAAAGCACCCTGCAGGTGGGCCCTCTCTAGAGGCCAAGCCTGACTCCTCAGCTGACAAGGCTCCCAGGGCGGACGGCCCTTACCCAGCCCCCGTTGTCCCCAGACACCTCCCCTCTGAGCCCCAGGGCCCAGCGCTGTGACTGACATTGCCCCGTGTCCTCGGCCTGCTCTTCTGGCAAGGAACCCCCGGTCTGAGGTAGGTCAGCACGGCACCTCAGCCTGCAGATACTAGTAGCCTGCAGCCACCAGTATGAGGATCCACTCTTCCTCCAGGGACCCACGCGGGGAGGGCCCTCCACCGCCAGGGGAGACCCCTGATTCCACCCGAGCGAACGTGTGAACGATAGCGGATGGCACTGCAGCTGTGACTAGGGCCTGTCAGGTGGACTGCAGATTGCCACCTGGAAGCCCTCTGCTGGGCATCCAAACCTGCCCTCAACACAGCCAGAGCCTTCCTGCCTTCCTGTTGGCGTCTCACCATTGCCATAAATAGGCTGCATATGAGCCGCTAGGCTGCACTCCCCACAGGCTCAAAACTTTGCTGCTGCCTGCACTTTGCTCCTGCCTTTCTCACCACCTTGCACTTTTTCCTCCCTTCCCAAGTTCCCCAGCTGAAATTCTCTCCACTTTAGAAGACCAAATTTGTGCTCTAAGTCAGCCAACATTTCTCAGCATCTCCTGTCGGGAGGAGCCAGGTACCGTCCCACAGGGAGCTGCTCTAATCCCTGCTGCCCGCCCAGGAAGGAGATCCCAAGGTCCCTGATTTATGGCGAAGAGGAGGGACTGTGAGGTTTTCTGGTGACCACAGAGCCAGGGTTCACGGCCACCCCCACTGCCGTTTCTTGCACCTGTACTGTGAGCCTTGCACCCACTGCAAGCTCTGACAGCTTTGGCTCTCAGGGCCTGGCCAGCACCTACATTCTGCAGATGAGGAAGCTGAGGCTTAGTGAGTAACTTGCCCAGAGTCACGAGGTTAGGAAGTGGGGTGTATCAGGATGAGATTCAGACTCTGGTCCTTTTTTTTTTTTTTTTTTTAAACGAGACGGAGTCTTGCTTTGTCGCCCAGCCTGGAGTGCAGTGGCGTGATCCTGGCTCACTGCAACCTCCACCTCCCAGGTTCAAGCGATTCTCTTGCCTCAGCCTCATGAGTAGCTGGGATTACAGGCATGTGCCACCACGCCCAGCTAATTTTTGTATTTTTAGTAGAGACGGCGTTTCACCATGCTGGTCAGGCTGGTCTCGAACTCCTGACCTCGTAATTCACCCACCTCGGCCTCCCAAAGTGCTGGGATTACAGGCATGAGCCACCGCGCCCAGCCTGCTTGATTCTTATACCCTGTCATCCAGCACACTTCCTTCCCCAAACTGAATGCAAGCCCCCCATGGGCAGAGAATCTATGGTGCCCATTTTCAGTCACCCGTGCTGTGCCTAGCATAGCTTCCTGCACCCATCAGCGCTAAAATATCCCACGGATGCTGTCTTGATGGCAGAAGGCACTTTTCAATCACTGTGCAAATGGCGCCTTCTACCCCCATGATGGCATGTGCACGGCATGCTCGAGTGCCCGGGGACGCTCACCCTGTCCTCCTGGAGGTCCGGAGCCCTCGCCTGGTGTTCCCTGTGCTGTCCTTGCCTTGCCTCACTTGCTCTTTTCCTCCCACTCTCCGGGTCCAACCTTGGCTTTAGTGTCTCTGCTTTCTGCAGGCTCTCCTGGGGCGGGCCCCTTTCTGCAGACAACTTCAACTATGGCCTCTATGTGAGGACATCACTCTATCTTCAGCCTTTGCCTTTCTCCTGGATTCCAGGGCTGCATTCTTCTTTCCAGCCTGACAACTGCAGCCAGTGCCCATGGCCACCGCAGCGTCACCCTGTCTACAGCAAGCATCTCCTGTGAGAAGTCTCCACATGCAACTTCGCTTCTCTCTAGCACAGTGTCCCTCTCATTTCTCTGAGGACTTGTTAACAATCTGTGGTTATTTTGCCAATCCACCCACTACCCTGTCGTCTGCCTCCCTAGAACATCAGTGCTGAGTGCACTATATGGACCTCTGTCTTCAGGACCTGGCACTGTGCCTGGCACGCAGAGGCACTCGATCGGTATTTGCAGAATGCCTCAAGGGATGTTTAAAACTGAAGTCAATGTATCTCCCCCCAACTAAATGCAATTGTTCTTTTCCTGTTGCACTGTTACCATTCCTCTCACTCACTCCCATCCTTGAGATTTAAAATCTTAGCCACCTTTAGCTCCTTCTTCTCTATTTTGCCACTTCCAGTACCTCTGGCACCCAGGCTTTCCTTGCACCTCTTCTGCATCACTGCTGTGGCCCAAGCCCTCAGTTCCCGTGTCCTTGGAGGATGACAGCATCCTCCCGCTTCACAGACCAGCCCTCCCCTGCTCTGGGGTCCGTGCTCATTCCACCTAGGGCTTTTCTGTGACAGTCCCTTAGTCAGGACCCTCCATTACTTGCCAAATAAAAGCCAAACTCTCACCCTGACCTCCAATATCTGACCACTGTGTTTTGAGACAGGGTCTGGCTCTGTCACCTAGGCTGGAGTGCAGTGGCACGATCATGGCTCACTGCAGCCTCCCAAGCAGCCGGGACTACAGGTTCATGCCACGGCACGTAGCTAAATTGTGTTATGTTTTTTTTAGAGATGGATTTTTGCCATGTTGCCCGGGCTGGTCTCAAACTCCTGGGCTCAAGCAATCCACCCACTTTGGCCTCCCAAAGTGCTGAAATTACAGTCATGAGCCACTATGCCCAGCCCAGTATCTTTCAATATGATCCCAACCTCCTTTTCCAGGTTTATTTCCCATTTTTTTCCACCTATATCCTGCATTCAGGAAAAGTCAGATTAACCAGGAATCAGGCATAGGCTGAAGACTCCCCACTTCTGCACATTTAGAAAACTCCCTGAAGAGGAATTCATTGAATGCCTGGGTCCTGGGCACCCCATGTGGTGGGGGGTGGGGTGGGGAGGTTAGTTCAAAAGCCAGGTCAGAGGGGGCCTACTGGGCTCACTCAGTCTCTTACAAAAAGACCACCTTGATGGCTCCTGTGGGCACGGGTGGTAGCCAGGCCTCTTGCCCCTTCCTTGCCCTGGCTAGGGAGGAAGGATGGCGGAAAGGGCTGGACTGCTTTGCATAAAGGTGACAAGGGCTGCTCAGGGCAGCTGGGCAGGTGCAGAGGGAGAAGAACTCCATCCCCTCCCAGAGGAACCAGTGTTCTGCAAGAAACAATGACCAGGAAGCTTCGAGAACAGGCCTGTCCACGATGTGGCTTTAAAGTGGTTTCTTAACCAAGACATAACCCCTCCGCTGAACACCTGCAGTTATAGAACATCTTATTTGCTGTGGAACGTAGGAAATGGAGGCTGCAGGGCATTCGGAGTTTCACTGGAGCCAGGTGATTCTCAGAGCTACTGGGGAGACATGGGGTTTCCTGCTGGATGGGAACAGGAATTTAAGCAGCTTCTCCCCACCCCCAAATCCTAAAAAAAGAGTGTCCCCAGCAGGCTGAAGGGTCTGGAAGCTGATACCTGGGATACTGAAATAAGAATTAATACCTTCAGCTATACCAGAGGATATGGTCACTCTCTCAAGAGATATATTTTGAGTACTCACTACAGGCAAATAGGTACTAGACTCTGAACAGGGTGGCTAATGAACAAGGTCAAGGGGACACAGACACATATGCCAGTAACTGCCATGTAGTGTGACAAGACACTGACTTAGTTCCTGGGCACAGTGGAAGGAAAGTAGGAAAGGGTGTGAGTCCTCACTCTTGTGTGGAACGGAATGCTCTGGAGAGAAGGAGTCATCTGGGCTGAGTCCTGAGGAATCTCGGACACATTCTCAGGCCGGAGTGGGGGAAGGACAAGCCCTTCCTTCCTCCTGGAATGTCCTTCTCAGCATCCGGACCTACCGACACTGTACTGATCCCTCCAGTGCCAGCCGAATGCCACCTCCTCTCAGAGTACAACGATGCTAGCGGTCTGGTCTTCCCTTGAACCACAGCTGTTCTCATCTCAGGGACCAGCACAGTTCCCACATCCCTGATGCTCGGGTGCTCTGTACCTGCAGGGGCTTCTCGACGGTAAAGGAACTCGGTCTTGTTCATTAGCCACCCTGTTCAGAGCCCATACCTATTTGCCTATAGTGAGGACTCAAAATATATCTCTTGAGAGAGTGAGGACATCCTCGCCTAAAGCTCTTTCTCCTGATTAGATGGAATAGGCCTGGGGCTCTGTAATTTGGGCAATGGCTTATCATATCCTCTCTCCTCAGGATCTCCTCACTATTACTCTTCAGAAGTGACAATATAAACAGTGTGGTTGTTCTGTGTGGCAGATAGCAGTGGAAGTTACGCTGGATACATTTCATGTTTCCAATATATCTGGACATTTCAGGTTCTACCTTGGTCGGAAGGAAACCTTTCTCTCCAGCGTCATGCTTTCTGATGTAGCTGCCCACTTATTTGAAGCTGCCTATGATCTGTACTCAGTAACACAAGAGACTCTAAAGATTATTTTACATCACCACTAAGGGCAGCTCCATAAAGTATGGCTTAATTTCACAACTAGCCTCACAATGCTACTGTAATTTATGTGGGGAAAACTTAGAACAAGTATCAATAGCAAGGAATCATTTTGAACACGTAAAGAATATGCGATGAAGTCTTCCTCTGCACACAAAAAAGCATGGCTCTTGCCTCCTTCTTTGCAAAGAGAACTGTCAGATCCGTTAGTTTCATAATACTTTAATCATACATTGTCTAGCTAATTACCACTCCCAAATAATGAAACGTAACTTTCAACGATTTAGAATGCCACAGTTTTTTGTAAAATAGCTCCGTTTTACTGGTCTAAGTTTAAACTATTACGGCGATCACTGGCCTGCTGCCTCCCTGTTTGATTTCTCCACTAGCTGTCCCAGAGATCTTGCTGATAAAAGATCTAAAACATACAGTCTTCCGAGAGCTCTTATTTGACTTTTTTGCTCCACATTTCCAGATATAATGGTTCTCAAGGCAACACTATACAGAATCAGAGAGAGAACATGAGCTTACGTTTAAGGCAGTCATTCACATTTACACACATATAATTACAACTCTTATTTTTAAAAAGTGTAAATTTATGACACTGTCCTTCAAATATTATTCATACATCAGGTTTTGGGTTATGCTGCAAATCACTTGCCAGTAAGTCTAGGGTTCATGGGGCAGGAATGACACGTTAACCCTGTCTAGCCACTGGGGGTCCTGGTTTGGAATAATACTGTGATGTACTGTCAGGAAGTAAGCTTGGGTACTAGGAAGACATTAGCCGATTACTCTTTTGGGGTTTTATACAGTCTTGCTGTGATTCACCTCAACCCGTGTTTCAAGTGTATGTCATTAACTCTTCACAGACAGGAAAACTCAGTCTCAGAGGTCAATGACTTGCCTTTAGTTCAAATTGAGGTCAGAATATCTGATAATTTCCCAACTCTAAATTTAACTCATGATACTTATGCCATGAACATTAAAACTGACTGTACACTGTGCATCCAGCCTATTTCAGGACACATTTAATAATACACTTTAATTTTGCTCATAATACGCCATTAAAGCAAGAGTCCTAGAGGAATTGAAATCTGCTATCTTTGCACCTTGTAACATGAAGGCACGTTATCCAAGGCACAGATGCACTAGATCCAAATGCTCCTGCCCTAATTACTGCATCTTTATGTGCAGGCCAAAGGGCATCTTTTTCCCTTTGCTACATTCCAACTCATTCTCAAACACAAGGCCAATGACCCCAGGTTCTTTCCAAACTGTCTCTTCTTTAGTTTTAAAGAAAGTTTATTGCCTCCTTCTCCAATCAAGACATTTTTACTGCACTTCGAAGACACCCCTTAGATATCATGCTCCTGACAGCTCTGCAGGAAAACAGTTTTAGGTGACTTGTCACTTTATGAGGGTGGCCAGTGCCTGGCTTCACAGTTTTCTAAATCCCTCTGTCAAGAGAGGCCTTGAAAGAGCAGACTGGAACTTTCCAGCAGTCTCCTGGCCAGTGAATGTGCACCTTGCCTTCTGAAAGTAACTTCCGAAGTGATGATCTTGCCGTCTGACCTTGGGCAAGCAACGACTTCCACGGCCTCAGTTTCTTCAGCTGTAAAGTGGCAATGCTGGCCGTAATCATCTAGGTTCCCTCGGCCACGCAGCTCTGAGATGGCCTCCTTTTCCTTTCCTCATCTAGCTCGTGGGGACTGGTGCCAATACTATCAGCAACTGCATTTATCGTACCAAGAGTTTTAACTTTCAGGGCAGCCGTGAGCCCAGCAAAGACTGACAGGATCATCTCCTGCCCATGGCTCTGACAGCTCTCTTTTGATCCAACTCATGCCCAGGAAAAAAAAAACCAACCATTAATTATATGCTTATTTCTTCCTTTAAAGACATAAGAGACTCCTTAGGTTCTCAGCCCTCCTGGTGTGTCCCATCAGATGGCTTGGTACAGTGGCACCTTTTAAGAACGTGTGAAATATTCCAGTCCGTTCAGATTCAGGCAGAATCCAAATCACTCAAAGCCTTCTCCTACCAATTCTTCGTTCATTTTAATGGTCAAGCACAGAGGAAAAACCCTCTTAACCCTTACTGTCTACTGATTAAACACATTTATTTACTTATTTATTTTGATATAGGGTCTCGCTCTGTCACCCAGGCTGGAGTATAGTGGTGTGATCTCAGCTCACTGCAACCTCCGCCTCCCAGGTTCAAGTGATTCTCCCACCTCAGCCTCTCGAGTAGCTGGATTACAGGTGTGCATCACCATGCCTGGCTAATTTTTTTTTGTATTTTTAGTAGAGATGGGGGTTTCGCCATGTTGTCCAGGCTGATCTTGAACTCCTGACCTGAAGTGATCCACCTGCCTTGGCCTCCCAAACTGTTGGGATTAGAGCCGTGAACCACTGTGCCCAGCCAATTTTCTATTCTCATCCTCTGACTCTTAAGATTAAATGCTCTAAAGAATAAAACAGTCTTGTTAGATTGAAAAGCAAATGAGTAGATGAATGAAACAGAAAAGTACTCGGCAACCCTGCCATGTCCCCTGAGAAGGCAGGGCCAGCTCTACAGTGAAGATTGGTGAGTGGTTTTCCTGGGCCCTGCATGGGAGGAAAATTAGGCTTGTCCTGAGTGGGTGCACCTGCCCTGCTGAGCTGCTATCTGGATGACGATGGCCATGCTGGGCCGCAGCTCCACCAGGAGTGTGGCATTGTGCTTGGTTTGATGGAGCAGCCCACACCAGTGGCAGCATGCACCCCTTCTCACTGGGTCATCAGCTCACACCCATCATGCTGGTTTGGAAAATTCAATGACAAGTTCAAAGAGTCCGGCTGGTGTGAGGGAGCAGCCTGGCATGGCTCACTAAGGCCCAGCATGGTGTCTCACAGGAATAGTTCTGTGCACACTGTCCTGGGACTGGCATCTCAACCTTCCTGGCAAAGAACAGGGAAGGGAGGTAGATGTTCTCCTGGAGCCTCCTTCTCAGATGCTCTGTGCATCTTCACTTCCAGGGCTGGTGTCACCAGGGTCCTGGCCATCCCATGGGCACACCCTCCTTTAACTAGAAGAACAGTTGTTGGGGGCCGCACCCAGGGCGTGGGACATACTTGGCTCATCCTGTCCAGGTCTGAAGCTAGACTTTTGCCCTGGCCCTCATCTCTGTTCTGGGAGAAAACAGATTCAGATGTGAGCCTGTGGTTGGCATCACACAAATGTGACTGTTCAGTTTTTACCATCTTTGAGGTGATCTCCGTGCCAACCTCTCCATCCTTAGATAGACCCATGAGCCCTACCCCACAGAGTTGTAAGGAAGTAAATGAGATAATGTGTATGCAAAAGCCCTACACCTGGCACTCGATAAACAACAATATTCGCTTGTTCCTATTTAAAAGTATAGCTGCCCAAATGCCTTGTTTTTCAAGGGTGCTTTAGAGATAGAAACAATGAACTTCAACATCACACACTCAGTCGGGTGTCTCCTGCACTGGCACGTGCTGGGGAATGAAAGTTCCTTGTTTGATGTTTTCTCTGCTGGCAGCAGTGCAGAACTCAGAAACGTTAATCTGAGCTTTCTCTTGGTGGAACTGAGAGAGCTAAGATCAGAAATCTTCTAAGATTATCCTTAACAGGCCGGGTGTGGTGGCTCATGTCTGTAATCCCAGCACTTTGGGAGGCGAGGCGGGTGGATCATCTGAGGTCAAGAGTTCGAGACCAGCCTGGCCAACATGGTGAAACCCTGTCTCTACTAAAAATACAAAAATTAGCCTGCTGTGGTGGCAGGCACCTGTAATCCCAGCTACTTGGGAGGCTGAGGCAGGAGAATCTCTTGAACCCAGGAGGCAGAGGTTGCAGTGAGCTGAGATCGTGCCATTGCACTCCAGCCTGGGTGACAAGAGTGAAACTCCGCTAAAAAAAAAAATATATATATATTATATATATATATATATTATATATAATATATATATAATATATTATATATATTTATATATTATTTATATATAATATATTATATATATTATATATAATATATATTATTTATATAATATATTATATATATTTATATATAATATATATTATTTATATATAATATATTATATATATTATATATAATATATATTATTTATATATAATATATTATATATAATATATATAATATATATTATTTATATATAATATATATAATATATATTATTTATATATAATATATATAATATATATTATTTATATATAATATATTATATATATATATATATATATAGAGAGAGAGAGAGAGAGAGAGACAGACAGACAGACAGACAGACAGACAGACACCTTAATAAACTGGATTTCTTTCTGGCCAGCTCAGACACTGAGGTCTCCCTCCTGTCCGGACCTGCTGTTTGTCCTGCTTCTGCTTGTGGGATGTGTACAGGCTGCCACACTCATGTGTGCTTGCTGGCCTTCTTCCTGCCCTCCTGGGTCACGTGTGTCTGTGTATGTCCCTCTCGATCCCTCAGGCCTGCATTGTATTTTGGCCTTCCGGGCCACCTGCAGTCACCCAGGTCTCCGACCCACTAGACACCTGGCCCGCGTGGCTCCTGTTGTCTCCCACAGGTCCTACTGCTCGGCAGCCTTGAGGAGCACAGATGCATGCCTCCCTCCACAGACCCCCGTGGCACGTCCCCAAGGTGCCAGTGTCACTTCCCATCTACACTCTTATTTGTACAATTTGTCTTATTGTTTAAACTGGACTGTACACTGCCGTAGGAAAAAGATTAAATTATTTTTCCATGACCACATATACTTCACTTACAAGTACTTCACTTATAATAGGCCTTCAAATGCAAGTTGCAAAAGACACCAATAAATGCAAAGACAACTTGTGTTCACGGACTGGAAGACTTACTATTGTTAGGGTAAAGATCATTACACAAAGTGATCTACAGATTCAGTGCAATCCCTATCAAAATCCCAATGATGTTTTTGCAGAAATAGAAATCCATCTTGAAATTTACATGGAATCTCAAGGGACTCTGAATAGCCAGAAGAATTTTGAAAACAACAACAACAAACAATAGCAAAGTTGGAGAGCTCACATTTCCTGATTTGAAAACTACAAAGATACAGTAATCACAACAGTGTGGAACCAGCATAAAGACAGACGCGGATACGAAGGATGGAACAGAAAACCCAGATGTAAACCCTAATATACCCGGCCAATTGATTTTCAACAAGGGTACCAAGACCACACTACGGGGAAAGAACAGTCTCTTCAACGAATGGTACTGGAAAACTGGATATCCACATGCGAAAGAACACAGCTGGACCCTTACCTTACATCGTACATAAAAGTCACCTCAAATAGATTGAAGACCTATACATAAGACTTAAATCTATAAAACTCTGAGAAGAAAACAGGAGAACAGCTTCATGACATTGGGTTTGGCAATGATTTCTTAGATATGACACCAAAAGCATGGGCAACACGAGTAAAAGCAGACAAAGTGGACTCCTACAACTTAACAACAACAACAACAAAAGAAAGAACAAGCAAATAAGAGAGTGCCCAACATCGCTACTCATTAGGGAAATGCAAGTCAAAACCACCATGAGATACCATCTCATACCCATTAGGAGGTTTACTATCAAAAAACCCAGAAAATAATAAGTATTGGGGAAGAATATGTAGAAACTGGAATCCTTGTGCTCTGATGATTGGAATGTAAAACTCTGCAGTCGTAATGGAAAACGAGTATGGTAGTTCCTCAAAAAATTAAATATAGAATTACCATATGATCTGGCATTTCCACTTCTGGGCTAGTAACCAGAAGAACTGAAAGCTGAGTCTCAAATAGACACTTGTCCACTCATATTTACAGCAGCATTATTCAAAACAGCCAGAATGTGGAGGGAACCTAAGTGTCCGTTGACAGATTAATGAATCGACAGACTGTGGTAATATTTGCTATGGAATATTATTCCTCCTTAAGGAGGAAGACAATTTTGACACCTGCTACAACATGGATAAATCATGCATCGACTATGCTGTAAGTGAAATAAGCCCATTATGAAAAGACAAATACTCCATGGTTCCACTTACGTGAAGTTCCTAGAGTAGTCAAATTCATAAAGATGGAAAAAATGGTGGTTGCCAGAGCTTGGGGTGGAGAAAATGGGGTAGAGTTTTAGTTTTAGAGGAAAAAAGAGTCCTGGAGATGGGTGGTGGTGATGGCTGCACAACACTGTGAATGTACTTAATGCCACGGAACTGCACACTTGAAAATGGTTAAGATGTAAGTTTTATGTGTACTTTACCATTATTTAAAAAATATCCCACTGGGCCAGGCATGGTGGCACAAGCCTGTAATTCCAGCACTTTGGGAGCTCGAGGTGGGCGGATCATGAGGTCAAGAGATTGAGACTATCCTGGCCAACATGGTGAAACCCCATCTCTACTAAAAATACAAACATTAGCTGGGCGTGGTGGTGCGCACTTGTAGTACCAGCTACTCGGGAGACTGAGGCAGGAGAATCACTTGAACCCGGGAGGCAGAGGCTGCAGTGAGCCAAGATCACACCACTGCACTCCAGCCTGGTGACAGAGTGAGATACCGTCTCAAAAAAAAAAAAAAAAAAATTCCACTGATACTTAACTTGAAAAATAAAATAACTCACTATACTGAATCACTAACTCTCATTTTTCTTTTCAAAAAGGAGATTAAAAGTATATTTTCAAAAAAGACAAAAAGTGTCACACTAGAGCTACTTCCTTGGGGGTATCTGAGCCTTAATTGTTGTATCATTAGTGCCTAGCACAGTGCTGGTTACATCACGGGAACTGGGTAAACGAAATTTTAAAAATAATGTGCAGGGATGAATACGTGGGTTCTGATTATTCTTTTCTTAAATTTCTAAGGCTACTCACTAAGCTATTTCATATTGCACTGACATGTATATATTCTTTTTTCAATTGACACATTTTCCTATTTATGTAAAATATTTACATTAGTTTTTTTCCTTACGTTTGAAAGCCTTACACACACACACACACACATACACACACACACACACACACACATATTTTTTTTTTTTGAGACGGAGTCTCGCTCTGTTGCCCAGCTGGAGTGCAGTGGCTCTCTGCAGCCTCCGCCTCCCAGGTTCAAACAATTCTCCCGCCTCAGCCTCCTGAGTAGCTGGGATTACAGGCGCCAGCCACCACGCCTTGCTAATCTTTTGTACTTTCAGTAGAGACAGGGTTTCACCATGTTGGCCAGGTTGGTCTCAAACTTCTGATCTCAGGTGATCTGCCCACCTCAGCCTCCCAAAGTGCTGGGATTACAGGTGTGAGCCACCGCGCCTGGCTGTCTTTAACATATTTTTATACAAAACCGGAGACAAGAGCATGATGAGCCTGCGGATACATTCCCAGATTCAACAACTCATGATTTCTAATTTGGCCACAGTGTATATGTGTTAATGATAATGTCCTCAGAGTCAGAATCACATTGTGATGTCACGCACACCCCACAGCCAGGTCATACATGTGGAGGCTGAGGCACATAGAGGTGAGCAACTGGACCCAGGTCACACAGAGAGTGCGTGGTGGAGCTGATGCTGGAACCCAGAACACCTGTCTCCATGGCCCTGGCTCTAGGACATCTGCCAAATGTATTAGCCTGAATTTTATTTATACAAGTTGATCTTAACTAATAAGATTAATTTTCCAAAACTTAGCCCATTTTTCAGATAAGGTTAATGGAACTTTCTAAAACAGAAAATAAATGCCTTATGAGTCAGTGGTCTCCTGGCCCCGGTGTTTGAGCCTTTGAAATGTCACTACTGTCTCCAAGAGCTCCAAAAATGGTTTTTGCCCTCTTTCTTTTTCACGCTGTTCACCAGACAGATTTGCCATCACAAATTCAGGCTCAAAGGAGACAACATCTGTGAAGAGTTCCATAAATGGTGAATCAGTATACATGGTCATGTAGGATTGATATGATTGTTGGAAAACACAAAAAAACACAAATTCACATTTTCTGGGGCCGGGAGTGGTGGCTCATGCCTGTAATCCCAGCACTTTGGGAGGCTGAAGTGGGCAGATCACGAGGTCAGGAGTTCGAGACCAGCCTGACCAACATGGTGAAACCCCGTCTCTACTAAAAAAATACAAAAATTAGCTGGGTGTGGTGGTGTGTGCCTGTAATCCCAAGTGCTCAGGAGGCTGAGGCAGGAGAATCGCTTGAACCTGGGAGGTAAAGGTTGCAGTGAGCCGAGATCGCGCCACTGCACTCCAGCCTGGGCGACAGAGCGAGACTCTGTCTCAAAAAAAAAAAAAAATTACATCTTCTGGATCTGGGCTTGGCTCCTGGCTGTACACGGTGCCTCCTTCTACCGTATAACTGAGATACTACCTGTACAGGACTTTGTTGGAGAAGTGCTGAGTGTCCCTTCAAGCAGCCTCTTCCCCAGGAGGCAATCTTTACCTTCACTAGCCACAAGGAAAGACTGAAGTCTGGCGCCAAGAGCACCATGCTGGAGGTCTCAGTGGCGGGGGGCACATCTCACCCAAGGCCACTCTGCCCTGTCCACTTGCAGAGGGGCTCCTTGGTGTGGGGACAGCAAGAGGGTTTCTTTTGCCACAGGATGACCATTGGCTCCTTGGGAGCCTTGGTCCTCTTGACTGATTCATGGATGGCTGACCACGAATCCTCTTAAAGAGATCTTTGATGCCACTAGACTACTGACAAGCATGAAGTCCCTGACGATGTGTCATGGGCCTGCTGGAATCTCTGTTTCAAGGACATTCTTCCCCAGACAGAGTGGAGAGTGAGGACTGAAGGGAGAAAGAGACAGCGCAGGTGCAAGGTGGACAGCACCCATCGACCTCTGTGCTGGAAGCGGTGCTTATGCACTTAGGCAGGTGCTGAAATGAGAGAGGCTGTGCCTGAAGACAGCAGGTCAAGTCTCAGTATGACAGCAACATGGCAGATTATAAAAACCAGATGAGCCAGCAGATAGCCGCTGTATGGTAACTCGTGCCACAATAAAAATGTCAGTTTTCTGTATTATTTTACAGCATTGACTAGCCTAGGAATGCTTTCAAGCAGGACACTGATACCCTCCATTGTTAAAGACAGACATAGGCATTTATTAACTGGTGTTCACACGGCTCTTTCACTGGCTGAGTTTGTGAGGCGAGACCAGATTTCCTGTCCTAAGTATTCCTGTGGGAGCAGCAACCATGTGGGCGCCTCAAAACGTTTCCATCAGAAATGACAGTCGGGGGCAGGTGCCCCGCACTCACCAATTTCTATCCCACTTACTTTCTCTCTCCCTGGAGAGTTGGGCAAAATTCTCTGTCATTTCTTTTATTCTTTACTCCTAAAAGATCCTTGTAACAAAGAACTCAAGCAAAAAAAAAAAAAAAAGAAAAAGAAAATCCCATAATTAGACTAAGTGGCATCCCATCCCCCTCCCCTTTTTAAAGTGAAGTGAGCTCTGCGCATGGCAGCAAACTGGCTGCCTCTACAGGCCTGCCTTGCGTAGCGCCGGGGTCTGGAGTTTCTGGAGCATTCTCTTGGAACTGCTCAGAGGCAGGGAGTGCCGGGGGTGTGTGTTTGCAAATAGATACCTGAATGATTATCTAGAAAACGTGCCTCTGAATTCCAAGTGAAAAGACATAATTTTGAGGGTTATTTGCCTTCAATTTGGGTGGTCCATCGTGAGCTGCCTTTATACATGCCACTGTCCTTCCTACTGAAGGTGTCCACAGCATGATCTCTTCACCGGGATTGGGATGAAAACACCAGTCATCACCCAGCAGATGTTGCTTCTCTACTGAGGACCCTTCAACTTGTTCACTGTTTCAAAGCTGAAGCTGCAATTTGCGAAGTCGCATTTTCCCGAAGGCTTTCCCACCTGGGCCTTGCTGAGGAACATAAGAGTATCATCCCACCGACTGCTGGCATTCGGCCCTGCGCCCACACAGCCCAGCGCTCTGCCTACCTGTGTCCAGGTGAGAGTGCATCACAGGCATCCTCCTGGACAGGCAGAGGGAAGCTCTCCATCATTATGGAATGCTTCCTCTACTGTATGACACACTCAGTTGAATGAAAAGAAACATCAGTCTTTCTGAATGGGTAATGATATTGTTTTCTTAAAGAATACTTTCACAGAAAAATAAAAAAATACTTCTAGAGTAAGATTTAAAAAATCAACATATACATTTGGAATTATTTGTCTCAAATCACAGACTCTAGAATATTTAAGTTGCTTGAGACTATTTAGCTCGGCTTTCTGCTCACAGACAGGAACTGAGGCACACGCTTGGGAAGGCCAACATTCTGACTATTGTCACCTTGCCGGCATGGCACTGTTGCCCCAGCCAAGCTCGCAGTTACAAACATCCAGGGAGCAATGAGAGTTTGCTTAGAGAAAAGAGACGTCCTGGAATACCTGAACGGCTCTCACAAGGCTGTGAGGGGCTGGAACTACTTGGGGTAGATATATGTAGAAGTCACGTGAGGCAGGTTTGAGTTTAATAGGAAAAAAAACCCAAAACAACTTTCTGATGGCCTTCTGAGAGTGGAAAAGGCAGCCTTGTGGGCCAGTGGCAAACTCCTCATGAACCATGGGCCTCTGTGGGGCGTATGCAGTTCCTGCTATTCCTCATGAACCATGGGCCTCTGTGGGGTGTATGCAGTTCCTGCTCTGTGGAGGGAGGCTGGGCAGGGGACACTGGATGCTGTGGGCTCTTCGGTGGCAGGGCCTTTTTTTTTTTTTTAAACATCACTGTTGCATGTTTTACATATCATAAAATTCACTCGTTTCAACTGCACGATTCAGTGGCCTTTAGTAACTTTACCACATTGTGCAAGCTTCATGATACATCAGTGTCAGAACCTTTCATCCCAATGAGGTCCCATGGGGACAGAGTTTCAACTAAAGCAGGTCTCTTGGGACTATGGCTGTCTCGGGAGGGGCCTGTCTCACATGCATTCCATCCCAGTCCTCCCAGTTACAGCCTGGGTACCTTGCTTTGGGTGTGATAGGGTGTTGTACCAATAAGCAATATCCATACTGTCTACCCAGATAGGTTCAGGCAAGGAAGGGGCTGGGTGGACAGGAAAAGGTTGGCAGCTGGGTGATAGCACCCAGTGGACCAAGGGCAGATGCCACTGAGGGGGCAACAGGATAGGGTAGCTGCTTCTCTCACTGCCCCCCTGCCCCATACTCCCATATAGTGAATCTGTTTCGGGCAGAGGACACTTTTCACCCTGACCATGTATCATAATAAACTTCAATGGTTCTCTCAGCAACACTGAATTACTTGAGAAAGACTTTGTTATTCAGGAAACTGAGTAACTGAAGCTCAGAAACTTCTAGTAAAAAGATGATCATAATTGTTACATAATATCCATTAAAAAAAAAAGAAAGAGTAACAGCCATTTTAAACCCAATTAGTTTCCCTGACATGTTAATATATGTTAACCAGAAAAAGGAAGTCCTTTTTAAACCTGGGCTCCCTGTGGTGCACCCCAAAAGGAAGTCTCGGTGGCCTAGACTCCAACGTCCAGTGAGAGACACCCTGCATGCGTCACGTGGCTCCCCAGCCGCGGACCTGCTTGTGTTCTTACAGGAGGTGCCTAAGTGGCACCTTGAAGAAGATGATATGCTTGCTGTGTTATGTACACCCGCATCCTTCCTTGCTAAAGCATTCCTGGAAAGCCCCTGCTGACCATATCTGGGGGTAATCATCATGGGATGGGCCAGGCAAAGCCACCAAACCATGTGCCAATTACATTTCAAGCAAGGGGTCCTATTGGCACCAGCATCATTTTTTTAAGGCAAAGTCTAGGATTTCAGCTGTAGGAATTTAAAAACATCCAGAGTTAATTTTTCACACAAATCTTGAAGAGTGGGGGCTTTTAGTGTCTTTAGGTTGACAGCATCCAAAATCCAAAAGAAACAAAAACAACACAATGTGCCCAGAAAACTAAGAACGCCATTTTGGCTTTCTGAAACTTTGACAATACTGCAGACACGGGATGAGTTTCTGCGGAGAGGCCGGGGAGGAGAACGGATGTAGGGGGTCACATGTGGCTCATCCAGTAGGAGAAAATGAAAACATGTGTCAATGAGGAAAAGGCACAGGAATCACACCTCCGGTTCAAGTAGTCAGGCAGTGTGATGAAAGCTGCGAGACGCGGGGATGCAGATCAACTGAATAAGAGGCATATCTCAAACAAGATGTGGGAGTGGATTCTCTCTGTTCTGATTATTAGTATCTAGTATCTGAATTCAACCTACTGATTTAGTTTGTGAAGTACAGGCAATACGAGATGACAGGAGATGTTGGCGGCAAAGAATATTCTCATGCGGACCTGGAGTCTTTGAGAGCTGCCTAGAAGACAACCATGGTAGTAATTCCTTCTTTCCAGCATAGTTCCACAGGTTTGTAAATGAATCACAGCTGATCACAACAGATGGCCTCCATTTCCTCCCATCATGACCTTGAGATATGGCCCAAGCAGATCACAAGTCCCAGCAAGCAGTTTTCAATCCATATCTGAGCAGCGCCACATAAAAGATGTGGCTTGGGTGACTGGTACCTTGGCATCTAAGGATCAGAGTTCCCACGTGATTACAACGAACACCATTTGCAGCAAATACCATGGGGCAGTCCTCTCGGCTTCTGGAAAACTGCTACGGAGCGCTGTAACTGGCCTGAAGTCTGCGTACAGGCCTCACTGATACCTTTTTCAATTATCCATTTGGGTTAAATCCTCATGGGTCGTGCCATAGATCCCTGAGTGGATTGCACAGCAGGTGCTATTAGATCCTAGTTGTAATCAGTGAGTGATGGTCCAGGAACCTGGGAAGGTTCTAATAACACGCAAGGACTATCATCAGAATACCTCAACATTTAAGCAGCTTTGCATCTTCAAAGCTCACTACAAACATTAATTAATTAATATAGACGACACCCCTGTGATGTCGTTAAGTATGATTACCTCCATTTGACATATAAGGAAACAGGTTAAGCGGCTTGCTTGAGGCCACACAAGCCCGAGTGGGTCTGGGAATGTAGTTTGGAAGCACCTGATCCAGCACACACGGAGGCGTGCTAGTGGCAGGTCAAGAAGCTCACCCACTCCCCAGCCCTCGCCATCCCCAGCAAGTGGGACTGTGGCTGCAGGAGATCTGCTGACAGGCTGTCCGAGGACCCTGCCCGGATCTTCCTCAACCACGTTCCAACCCAAAAGAGTTAGTAAGAGTCTGACAGAGAGCGAGTGAGCAAGAGCAAGCTCTAGCAAATCCACTGCTGGGTCCAGCTGCAGTGATGGGGGGTGCAGCCCTTGCTTCAGCATTCCCTGCTGCTGAGGCGGACTAGGCAGTGGACAGTCGGATGTCATTGTTAAGGGGCGGGTGGGTGCCTGAGGGGGCAGAAAATGGAGGAAGCATGGAGGAGGCTATCATCTGAGGGTCATCAAAAACCCATGACAGACAGCTACACTGGGGAGATGGAGGAAGGACCTGAGAACTAGATGAAATCCTACAGCAGGAGCACCGGGAGTCACAAATGGCGACTCGCCTTGGCTCCGAAGCTGCTGGTGGAGAGAGAGGAACTGCGTGGCTGGAAGGCATTGTGCGGGACTGGGAAAGGAAGGAAGGGAGCCAGCACTTCTCGGTGCCTTCTGTGTTCCAGACCTTTACAGCATTCACTTATTTAATCCTCAGATCAGCTCCCCCAGGTGAACATTACTTCATCTTATTCTTATCTTAGCACTGGGAAACTGAGGTGGCAATGGTGAGTTTTCAGGCAGGATCAGAATCGAGTCCATGTGTGGATGATGACAGTGATCCCACACCACCACAGACAGGTAAGGACTCTGGACGTTGGAAACAGTGACATGGCAGGAGGGCCTCTGGGAAGAGCTGCAGAAGGTGCAGACTTGGGAACAGCTGGAGAAATGATAGCAGCACCGTGTGTGCTGGGGGCTCCACTTTGAATTCTGGAACCTGTGGCATGGGTGACCAGTACCTTGGAATCCAAGGATTAGAGTTCCCACACAAAGAAGTACAGTTGATCTGAGGACAGTCTCAGAGAGGTGGGGAGGGCCCAGAGGTGGGAGTGGGAGGTCCAGGCCTGTCTGTACCACTGGAACATCCAAGGAGAAGCAGGCAAGTGGACTCTGTATATGACATCAGCTGCTTTATGTTGATGTATATAAACTGTCCTGAGAGCCAAGGGAAATGCCTTAAATTCTCAACAAAGATGAGCTGAAAAAAATCATTCCAACATTTTCCCAATTATTTGACAGAAACACAAATTTAGGGCTTACTGCTGCATAACATTTTGTGTTCTCTCCTGCCAAGATGCTGAGGGCAGTCAGCTGGGAGGAATGCTACTTTGGGGATGAATTAAAGTTTGTTGAATAAAGAATGAGCACAGATTCAGAAGCAAAACTTCCATAGTGCATGAATCCTCCCAACGAGACTGTCAGAATAAGGATATAGGTTTGCATTTATTTATTTTACTAAAAGCTTCCTACTTCCCTCCTTTCTGGATATCGTAAGGGGTTTGACCTTTCTGTTTCAAATATGACATTTCTTTCTCTGATTTCCTTTAGCCAGATGTCAAACCTAAAATAGAATTTCTTAGAACTTACTGCTCAAATATGATACTTAGGAGCAGACTGTAGCTTTTCATAGTGTCTTATGGCTTTTCTAGAACATGCACTGATAAGGAAAGGGAGAGAAATTCAACTTGGGGTGTCTCTGCACCCTTCGTTAGGGATGCTGGGAAGTGATGGCAACGCACAGAAGCACCGTGCAGGTCGTTGGCTCAGAAAAGGCAGCCACTGTTTTCATTTAGGAGCCCAGCTCAGTCTGAACTGTGGGACCTCCTTCACCAAAGCACCCCCATATTGCTTCTTGTTCTCACCTACTTAACTGAAACGTCCCAAAGTTCCCTAGAAGAGATTTTAGCTATCATCTCTCCTAGAAGAGCAGGAAACCAAGCTCCCTTTTCCTTGCTTTTATCCTTGCCCCTGCGGAATTTTTCCAAAGGTACCAGTGATGTTTTTGTGAATGCAAGTACACGGCGGCCCTCCTCCTCACAGCCTGGAACCCCAAACCCTACCACTGGCCTGCACCGCCTTATGTGACTGCTTGTGGCTACTGCCCTCACCATTTCTCTGTGCCAGGAATACTGGCCCCACTGCTGTTCCTTCAACTGGCAAAGCATACACCTGCCACAGGGCCTTTGCACAGGAGTCCCCCGGTGACTGGTGAAGATCCGTGTGCCCTGCTCCCTCATTTCCTTCATGGCTCTGCTGAAATGTCTCATCAGAGAGGCCTTCCTTGATCACCTTTACCCTGCTTTATTTTTCTTCATGGCACAGATCTCCTCCTGACATGTTATTAACATGTTTGTGGTCTGTGCCCTCCTGTATGAATGGGAGCATGTAATTTATTTGTTGTAATTTGTTGGAATAAGTCACCTACTGGCTTAGCACCCTCAGGACCCAGAGCAGTGCCTGGCACACGGTAGGCACCCAGTAAGAATTTGTTGGATAAGTGCTTACATTTATTTCAACAAATAAATCACATGCATGCCCCGTTATAGTTCTTTACAATAATTAGGCTAAAAGTTGCTTATAAAAAGAAAAAGAAGTAACCTAGTCAAATTTTACTTTGGTGTTTCTTAAATGTTACCCATTCTTACTGCAAAAATCAACTCTTGGAATCTTTATCATTTCTCTGTAAGGCCGAGAATCTGCCCTTTGCTACTTGAATCTTGTGTCAGCCTTCAGTCAAAACTAATGAAAGTCTGGGCCAATGAGCTGGCCCCAGATTTCTGGATCATCCAAGCATCTCCTTCACTCTCTGGACCCTCTCACCTGCCCACCCCCTGGAACCACACTGTCCTCTGTCACCAACAGTGAGGTGGGGGAGTGTTCTTACAACTTCATCGTTCACTCACATGGGAGACCGTGAGTATTCTCTTCAGAGGAGAGGAATTGTTTCTCCTTAGAGAGGCGTGAGATGAATGAGTGTCCTGTTCTCCCTAGAGTCCCCGATTCATGGTGTCTGGCCACTCCTACAGGCACAGCACGGACAATCACATAACGAAGCTGAAAGCAATGTGCTTTTGAGTATAAGCCATACTGGTTAGAGGTGATTTACTGTGTCACTCTGTCACATTGACATGTTTGAGACTCATGTAAACTATTCCCTGATCAGCCACAGTTCTGGCCTAACAGGGGGCAATGCTAATGTTTAATAATGTAAGCATAATATTTAATTTGGAAAGTACTAGTGATTATATAGTAGTAAAGAGGCTTCACATGTGGGTAGAGATTTTTTAAAAATCTCATTGATACCAAGGTATAGTGCAGTAGAAACATTTTGAAACTAAAGTTAGAAGCGTCCTAACTGTAGAATGAACATATTCACGTCACTATTGTTCACCAGGATCGCTCTCACACACCACACGTGCTATGTGAATACAGATAGACTTCTGCATACTCAGCTGGCTTTGCACATCTCTACCACAGAGTACGTGTATCTCTTGGACAGAGTATGACTGGTGGAAGTGGCAGTTGGCAGTTTATCTTTGATCACTATATTCAGAGGTGGCTTATACTTTTTAATTTTTTTTATTATTATACTTTAAGTTCTAGGGTACATGTGCACAATGTGCAGGTTAGTTACATATGTATACATGTGCCATGTTGGTGTGCTGCACCCATTAACTCGTCATTTAACATTAGGTATATCTCCTAATGCTATCTCTCCCCCCTCCTGGCTTATACTTTTAAGGGCACAAAATATATAACCATGATTGCTTGAAAGGGATTTGTTTCAATTCCTTGTTTGAAGGAGGTAATGGGCCAGCCTAAGAATCAAAAGTGACAATGAAATATAAAATGTATAACCATGATTGCTTTAAAGAGATTTGTTTCAGTTCCTTGTTTGAGGGAGGTAATGGGCCAGCCTAAGAATCGAAAGTGACAATGAAATATGAATGTAAAAGAGGAAGGGAGACAGACCTCTGGCTTGTTAGTACAACAGAATACTTACTTGGGGTTCACTTTATACATTACTTTCCCCCATTTTCCTACCCATTTGGGTAGGAATGAGATCTGCCAGGAAGGTGCACGGGGCAGAAGGCTTTGCTGTTGTTTTCCATGTCTTGGTTTCCTTCCTTTACCAGGACCAGAGCAGGAGGCCTCCTTTCTGCTCTCTGGGGGCCACATACTCCTGCCTCGATGGGCCACAACTGGATGAAGGAGGATACACGTGTGCCTTGCTACACATAATAGCTAAACAGCCCTAGAAAAACAGGGTCTGTGTACATATCATCATGTCTTCAGGCTACAAGGAAGCCCGCTGTGTGAAAAAGCTCTCCTGAGCTCAAATAAGAACTACTTTCTAAATATCACCTTAATATATCTGGTAGGTTTGGATTTGGTATGTCAAGTTGAGTCCTATAATACATAGACTATTTCCTTCTGGAGACCGTATTTTTAATTTCAGCGACTTGGAGGAGTTAAACTCGACCTCTGGGCACACTGACAGCCAAGTGGGTCATCAGCAGAGGAGTGACAACGACACTTCCATTCATGTAGGGCTTCCGGTCTACAGGAGGGCTTTCATATAAGTGGGCTGAGTGTATGGGAAGTGAACTGATTAGGCATTTGCCCCTTGTTATGGATGAAGCAGCAAAGGCCGTGAGAGTCCCTGAGGGTCAAGTCGCTCTGAGATCCTAGAGACGGGAGTCCTGCTCTGCCCAGCATCCTCTCCCCTGCACCACAGTACCTGCATCCCCTCCTTTTCTGTGCCGTCTTTATTTTACAGTGTGGATCTGGTGGGCTAGGGTTCCTCTCCTGTTGGTCCTGATGATGCACCAAGACCAAGAATATTTCTTATTTATGGAGGAAATATGGTTAAGTGCTAAGTGTACAGCCCTGACCCTTCCTCTACCCTCTCAGCCTAGTTACACCAGGGAGGTAAATCCCTACCTGTTTGTCTACCTACTTGTTTATATTAAAAGTTCTTGCAAATTTAAAAGGTTATACACTCAATGATCCAAAGGTGAAGTTGAGAAGACTATAAAAGACCTTAGGCAATATGAAATTATACAGTCAGCTTTTCACGTGACGGTGGTGTGATCACTAATGGAATCACCGAGTTTCCACAGAATGAAAAGGACCCTTGGGATCCGGAGCTACAGTTTAAGCTGGTCCCTCTCTGGAGGTGTTGCGTAGTAGGCTTCTCCTGTAACGTCTACGGCTGACTTATGACATTTACATTTTTGGTCCTCAAGGTCACAGTGTCCTTCTAAGCGGAACGATAGTGGAGACTGGGAACTAACTTCTTCATCTCCTCTCTTTGACAGCCTGAACTCAGCTTGGCACTGGCTTTCTATCCACCTTCTGCCCAGCAGTGAATGGAGTCAACTCTCCCATTAATGGAGCACCCTCTGGGGGAAGGGCACTGTGTTTTCTGCTGAGCGCTAGGACCTTCACAGTCTCCACAGAGCAACAAACCAGAACTCAGCGAGAAGAGCAATGCCAAAGAGGAGGCCTAGCGTGCAGACACACATGAGCCTAGAGCAGCTGTGCCCACCCCATGCCTCTACCATTGACTCAATGAGGACAGCTGTCTTTGAGAGTGGTGACGGTAGGGTTCTATAGAAGAAGCAGGTCTGTTAAGCAATCTGCGAGATGGCCGGCCTCAGACCAATCAAAGTCTACCATTTTGTCTTATCTATCTAGAACCATAACTCAAAAATGAAATTGCCCCAGCTTTTCTCCTCCCACCATTAAATTCCATTCAATCATAGCAGGCAAAATGCAGTCACGCTCAAGCAGCCAGATGTTATCATTACAGACTGCTCTTTATAAACCCATGCTGAAACCTGAGTGGTTGATGAGACCAGCTAAGCAGTTGTACCTTTGACCCAATTGCATTAAACTTGCCCTATCAATTTAAGCTCAGTATAAACACCATTTCCCAGAGCCCCTCGTGAAGTCAGCAGTGAGAAGAAGCTGACTAAGCCTAAACATTTTTTAACAGCAATCTTGTCTTACAACACCAAGGGGATTTGCTGGGTATCTGGGGCTTTATAAAACCATATGAACATGCTGAAAGAATTAAAATCCTTTAAAAATGAAAAATTGATGGTGACAGTCCTGTCTGAAGACTAACTGGTCTAATGGCAACATGGAATGGGCACTTTTGTATTTTTTTTTCTTTTTTTTTTGGTCTGAGACACTTTTGTATTGTTTTGTAAGTAATATATTTGTATTATTTTTCTTCTTCTCAAATGTTTGCCTTAAGGTGGCCATTCCAATTTTTTTTAAATGAAAAAAAATGTGCCCCACTTATCAGTAAATTGGACATTTTAAGAGGAATTGAACATATTTACTGTCCTGGTTAAGTTTCTTTCTAATGAAGACTGGGACCCTCTCCGTATTCAAACATTTCAGATAATAAGATCACAGTTATCTCCACATCACATGCGGCTGACATCCCGGGAGTCTGGCCTATGCACAAGTCCCAGGGTGAATGAAGGGAGTGATCGTACCTGGCTATTGATTTGCTAATATTTCAATAAAACTTAGATGTTCTATAAAAATGTAAGCATATATTTGTCTTTGTAAATAAATATACCTCAGTGTAAAGGTATTTCAAAAGAGAAGGCTGATCTTAGAGGTGTTTACTTTTTTCTTTTTTTGCTTTGTATAAAAAGTTTATTCAGTTACTTTGTGGCTGAGTTTCCAAATAAGTAGGATACTGTTACTTTCTGTTAAAATGCTAAAATAGGATACTGGAGAACAAATAAATGTTGAAGATTTATAAACTCTTTTAGAAATGACTTCGTAATATATCTTAATAAGATAAAAAGGCCTTTGAATTATAAACTGTAGATTATAAAAATTAGGTAGAAAATGTAATATTTTAAGACACACTGGGGGCCAGGCGCAATGGCTCATGCCTGTAATCCCAGCACTTCAGGAGACCAAGGCAGGCGGATCACCTGAGGTCAGAAGTTTGAGACCAGCTTGGCCAACATGGTGAAACCCCATTTCTACTAAAAATACAAAAATTAGCTGGGTGTGGTGGTGCACGCCTGTAATCCCAGCTACTTGGGAGGCTGAGGCAGAACTGCTTGACCCTGGGAGTCGGAGTTTGCAGTAAGCTGAGACCGCACTACTGCACTCCAGACTGGGCAACAGAGTAAGACTCTGTCTAAACAAACAAACAAACAAACAAAAAAAACCACTGGGAATAAAAAGGAGCCAAAACATTAAAACAGAACACTCTCCATTAAGGGGAAGAAAACAATGCTACGAATTTAGAAATAAACTTTCTTGAAATATGTGTAAAGATGTATAACTAGACAAAGCAACACATCAGGTAATTCTGGCCAAATCAGAGAAGTACCAAGGTATCAGCTCAGGAGAACAGAGCCAGTGAGTTGCCAAAGAGACTTTTACACTGAACTTGACACACCCTGGAATTAGTGAAGACTCACAGACCTGAATGGAATATATTTCTAACATATGTCAGTACTGTTTTCACTAGTGAAGAACTCTCTGCAACATTAAAATCTAATACCAAGGTCTAAGGAAACTTTGTCAAATGTCTTGCTGCCCTGATTAAAAGAATTATTATAATTTTTCTCTGGAAGGAAGAGACAGAAGACATTGATTTCACACAATAATGGAAAAAAGCGCAAAGCAGGGTTGGGCAGGCTGGGACAAGGGTTGGCTATCATAGTCTGGGGTGCTTTTTGGGAATTTCAGCCTTTTTGGGGCTTAGCCTCCTCAGCCAAGCATGCACTTCAGAGGAGATGGCCTCTGGGGTTCATTCAGGCTCCACTACTCTGAGTCTACACTCTGGAGGCACACATACTCTCTGGGATACACTTCAGAATCAGTCATCTCTGAGGTTCTTCCCATTTTTAGGATTCAATAAATGTATGAAACGTTTGTTTAGAGAGAAAAACGCACTTTGTGGATGACACCTTCCTATGTCATGTAAATAGAAACACATATTGCATGTTTTGCCATAAAAATGGGGGTGCTGAAAATGAGATCGTCATGTGCTGAGCACTTCACCGCAGCTCAGGCACCTCTGTGTTCAAACAGGGGCTTGGCATCAAGAGCTGTCACCAGCTGGGTACAGTGGCTCATGCCTGTAATCCCAGCACTTTGGGAGGCTGAGGCAGGCGGATCACTTGAGGTCAGGAGTTCAAGACCAGCCTGGCCAACATGGTGAAACTCCATCTCTACTAAAAATACAAAAATTAGCCAGGTGTGGTGGCAGGCGCCTGTAATCAAAGCTACTAGTGAGGCTGAGGCAGGAGAATCACTTGAACCTGGGAGGCGGAGGTTGGAGTGAGCCGAGATCGCGCCACTGCACTCCAACCTGGGTGAAAAAGCGAGACGAGACTCCATCTCAAAAAAAAAAAAAAAAAAAAAAAGCTGTCACCGCCGGTCCCATGATGGCTGGGTGACCGGAGAGGTCACAGGGCTTCCTTGGGAATGCAGGTGGTCGGGAGGGGCTGGGTGGGCTCCATAGGAACATCTTGGTGTCACAAACGAGGGGAGATCTTGCACACTGTTTTGAAACCCATCACGTCTCCTGGAAGCCTCAAGTCAGAGCGCTGCGCACGTGCACCGCACTGCCCCACCCCCTCAACTCCTCCCTGTGGCACCAGCAGCTCGGGGACTTCTGCCCAGCAGCCTTCCGGGACAAGGGGGTGAGAGGGTGTGAAATGACTGTAATGAGGACCACAGACAAGAAGGGATGCGCTGGTTACAGGTGTTGCATACGACTTTCAGAAGTAATATTTTTCTTGCCCTGATTTGAAAGAGCTACTTCAAAATCAAGTGTTTCTGGGTTTTTTTTGGTTTTTTTTTTTTTTCACCTGCACTAAAAATGAGGACAGCATTAGACAAATCTTTTCCACTTAATGTAACACATGCTGGAATGTGGAATTTTGTGTTTTTGAGGACTCATGAACGGTAACTAATGCTGAGTTTTTCTTAATTAATGAGCAGCTCAGATATGTAAAAGAAATTGGCTTATCTACACCGGGATAAGACAGAGAAGAAAACACTGATATGAAAAGCTAGAATATTTTCTAAGTGGCTCTGTAATTAAAAAGAACATTTAAAATGAGGAAAAGTTAATAGACTTCCATGCTCTAAATATATTCTTCCTAAGGTAATAGTTCAGTAGTGCTAGAGAGAAAGATAACCATCTCCTCGTGCCTTTTGTCTTCAGCCATACTTTTAGTTTTCATTCTGCATTCCATAGTTCCAAACGTTGAAGTCATCTGCAGGTCAAACCATGGCCTCGGGTAAGTACCTAGTACGTTTTTAAAAAATGCATCTTCATTCTGAAAACATGAAAACTCTTGCTCTGAGGCTGGATTCAATGAACCACACCTCTTACAAGTTGTTCATAGTTCCCTGCTCGCCCGGACTTTTGCTCAGAGTTTTGCTGTCACCTCATGGCTGCAGGGCTTTTTGAAATTCTAGACAATGAAGCTCATTTCCATGTTGCTCCCCTTGCAGCGACTGTGGGGGCCTTCAGAAGGCTTGAGCCTACAGACTCAGGCAAAGATCTGATGGCAGCTCCCCTGCAAACCACAGTAACCCACGAAGGCCACAGAACAATGTAACTGCTCCAAGTGTCAATCAGCGGCACTGAGCTTAGCTTTCTCGGCAACCTGTGACCTACAAAGACGCCTGCCCTTCAGAGTCTGGTGGCGGCTTATCACTCTCAATTAGGAGTTTACAGACACATTCATGTTGGTGCATGTGTTCAGGAGGCTGCTTCTCACTCGACGCCCTGTTTAGAGGAAGCAGCGACTGAAGACTGCTCCCCTGCTGGGGTGCTCTCTGGGAAGCCCCACAATCTTCAGCAGGTTGAATGCCTTGCTTTTGGGATCAAGCCAAAAACAACACCCACCCCCACGCACCCCACCACAAAAGGCTACTCTACTAAAGGGCATTATTATTTTCTGGGTTTACAGTCACAATGTATATAAATGTAAACCACCAAGCAAATACGTAGAAACACGGAATCAACGATATCATTCTGAGAATTTGAGAGGAAAGCATTTTGTCCATCCCTAAGTATGTATAAGATATTAAGGTTGGTGCAAAAGTAATCTTGGTTTTTGCCATACTTTTAATTACTTTTTTTTTTTTTTTTTGAGACGGAATCTCACTGTGTCGCCAGGCTGGAGTGCAGTGGTGTGATCTTGGCTCGCTGCAACCTCTGCCCCCCGGGTTCAACTGATTCTCCTGCCTCAGCCTCCCGAATAGCTGGGATTACAGGTGTGCGCCACCACACCCGGCTAATTTTTGTATTTTTAGTAGAGACAGGGTTTCACCATGTTGGCCAGGATGGCCTTGATCTCCCAGCCTCATGATCTGCCCACCTTGGCTTCCCAAATTGCTAGGATTACAGGCGTGAACCACCGCGCCTGGCCTATTTTTAATTACTTTCTGCCATTACTTTTAGTGGCAAAAATTGTGATTATTTTTGCATCAACCCAATAAATTTCAAAATGACAAAACTGCAGATCCAGCACCACCCACACTGTCTTATTATATTTCTACAAAAGAGTGTTTTTTCCTGGATTAGACAATGCCCAGTAATCACCAAGACAACTACATTTGGGTCTGGCTTCAGAGACGACGACTGTGGAGCATTTGAGACGTCTGACAAACTTGAGGCCATTGCTGCGCCATGTTTTCCCAAATGATAAAGGCAGCACAAGTGTCCAAGCCGTGATGCGTGAATGAGAGTCAGGATAGACATGGAGTGGAAGAACAGGGAAGGTCATAGAGAAAAGTGGGTAGCTATGATAGAAGGCTGTCCACAAGCCGCTGATTAGGGCCTCTCTGTGTGTCTGCAGGCATGTGTAAACAGAGATCAAGTGTTTTTTGCAGTTCCTGCAGGAGAGTGATGATTCTTCCAACAAAAGTCTCTGAAATTTCCCGCTCTATGTCTAACATTCTCTGCCACTATTTATGTCTTTCAGATTAGTGTAGAAAGGAGCATTTCACAATGCCTGGTTTCCTTAATAAGCAAAATCTGATGCTGGGAGATAATTCTAAGATTGGTTAAGAGGATTCCAAGAAATGGCAGACTGCAGAGGGTTCACCCGGGAGTACAGAGAGAAAACCTGTTTCATCACCACCAGACTGGGTACCTTTCCAGAAAGTGAAAACCCTCCTGTTCAAATAGGTTTGCCAGAGAATCTAAGCACCTCACCAGGCAATGGAACAGTGGTGATGCAAAATTCTGGGGTTAACTGTGCTCTGTCTGACGCTGCATTCTTCTGACCCTTTCTTAGGAAACTGCCCTGAGATGCTAGTCAGATGCTGGAGATGTCACAGGGCTGGAATAAAGGCATTCCCTGGTGTCCTTTCTGGATGTGACAAAAGAAACATCTAATTGCTGGCTGTGCACTCCCACCACTCCCAGCCGGGCATTTCAGCGAGGATTGGGAATTGCGAAGTCTATACTGTATTTTCAAACAGCATGAAACAAACATTGATCAGCCAACAGCAGCTGGCAGCGGATCCAGCAGGCCCACCAGTGGCTTGAACTTCAGTGAAAAGAGATGAGGTTTAAGATCTCAGAGAGGTCTCTCCAGTTTCAGACAGTCACCAATGCCAGCTCTGTTTTCTAGTATCTCAGGCTGTCCAGCCTGCTCATCCTCAGCTGACCGATGCCTGCACAACACTGTGGCTGCTTGGTTCAACAAATTGCAGGGCCAAGTGATCAGGGGACCACATCCATTCCCCTCCATCCCACTACTTTTTTGGCATGAGGAGACTCAGTTTTTTTCAACTTCGTGACTTCTCCTCAGTTAGGTTACCAAAGGGCTTTTTTTTTTTTTAAATAGACTTAGTATTTTTAGAGCAGTTTTAGCTTTATAGAAAAACTACACAGAAAGTACAGAGAGTTCTCACAGGACCTTTCCTCCACCCCACTCTTGCACAATTTCCCCTATTAACAATATATCTCAGAGTGTTATATTTGTTATAACTGATGAACTGATATTATTATTACCTAAAATCCATAGATTTTTACATTAGGGTTCACTCCATGGCATGAGTCTACAGATTTTGACAAACGTATAATGTCATGTATCCACCATTACTATATCATATAGAATAGTTCTGCTGCCACAAAAGCCCCCTGTGCTCTTCCTCTATCCCTCCCCTGGACCCTGGGCAAACACTGATCTTTTAACTCTCTCCATAGTTTCGCCTTTCCCAGAATGTCATATAGCTGGAATCATACAGTACTCAGCTTTTTCAGACTGGCTTCTTTCATTTAGCGACATACATTTAAGGTTCCTCCATGGCCTTTCATGGCTTGATAGCTCATTTCCTTTTATCACTGAAGAGCATTCCATTGGATGAACGTACCAGAAGTTGATCCATTAGAAGGATGTCTTGCTTGCTTCCAGTTTAGGTTGATTATTAATAATGCTGCTATAAACATCTATGCGCAGGTTTTTCTGAGGACATGTTTTCAACTTAATTGGGTAAATACATAGCCGCGAGGTTGCTGATTGCGTAGTGAAACCATCGTGCTATTTATGAAATTGCAAACATTCGTGCAAAGTGTCTAAACCTTTTGCATTCCCACTAGCAATGAACAAGAGTTCCTGCTGCTCCTCCTCCTAGTCAGCATTTGATGTTAGTATTCTAATGTTTTGCCATTCTAATAGGATTGTAGTGGTATCTCATGGTTGTTTTAGTTTAAATTCCCTAGTGACGTATGACGCTGAGCATATTTTCATATGCTTACTTGCCATCTGTATATCTTCTTTGGTGAGGTGTCTATTAGCTCATTTTTAAATCAGGTTGTTCATTTTCTTGTGGTTGAGTTTTAAGAGTTCTTTGTACATTCTAGATAATCAGTCCTTTACTGACTATGTGTATTGCAAAGCTTCTTCTCCCAGTCTTGACTTGTCTACTTGTCTTTTCACACTCTTAACAGTGTCTTTCATGGAGCAGAAGTTTTTAATTTTTCTGAAGTTCCAACTCATCAACTCTCTCTCTCTCTCTTTTTTTTTTTTTTTTTTTTTTTTGACATAGTCTTGCTCTATCGCCCAGGCTGGAGCGCAGTGATGCATTCACACGGCTCATTGCAGCCTCAACCTCCCGGGCTCAAGCTATTCTCCCACCTCAGTCTCCCAGGTAGCTGGGACACCCAGCTAATTTTTTTTTTTTTTTAATAGAGATGGATTTTTACCATGTTGCCCAGGCTGGTCTTGAACTCCTGGGCTCAAGCAATCTGCCTGCCTTGGCCTCCAAAAGTACTGGAATTGCAGGTGTGAGCCAACATGGCTGGCCCTTCAAATAGATCTTACACATAATTTTTAGACTTACAACTATTTCTTTTTTGGGGGTGTTAATGTAAATTACATTGTTTTAAATTTCTTTCTTTTTTTCTTTTTTGAGACAGAGTTTTGCTCTTGTTGCCCAGGCTGGAGTGCAATGATGCGATCTCGGCTCACTGCAACCTCCACCTCCCAGGTTCAAGCGATTCTCCTGCCTCAGCCTCCCAAGTAGCTGGGATTACAGGTATGCAACACCACGCCTGGCTAATTTTGTATTTTTAGTAGAGACGGAGTTTCTCCATGTTGGTCAGGCTGGTCTCCAACTCCTGACCTCAGGTGATCTGCCTGCCTCGGCCTCCCAAAGTGCTGATACATTGTTTTAAATTTAAAATTGCACTCGTTCGTTGTTAGAATATGGAAAACCAATTGACTGTTGTATATTAAACTTGTATCGTGCAACCTTGCTATAAATTAGTTCCAGGATTTTTTTTTTTTTTTGGTTGTTTCTTCGGGATTTTCTATATAGACCATTATGTCACTTGTGAAAGACAAAGACAGTGTTATTTCTTCCTTCCCAAATCTGCAAGCCTTTTATTCCTTTTCTTACATTATTGTATTAGAAAGGGCTTCCAGTGCAACACTGAATCATGGTGGTGGAAGAAGGGACATCCTTACCTTGTTCCTGATCTTGGGGGAAAGCATCTAGTTTCTCACCATCAAGTATAATGTTAGCTGGCTGGGTGCGGTGGCTCATGCCTGTAATCCCAGCACTTTGGGAGGCCGAGGCGGGTGGATCACGAAGTCAGGAGATTGAGACCATCCTGGCTAACACAGTGAAACCCCATCTCTACTAAAAATATAAAAAAATTAGCCGGGTGTGATGGCAGGTGCCTGTAGTCCCAGCTACTCGGGAAGCTGAGGCAGGAGAATGGCGTGAACTCGGGAGGTGGAGGTTGCAGTGAGCCGAGATCACGCCACTGCACTCCAACCTGGGCCACACAGTGAGACTCTGTCTCAAAAAAAAAAAAAATGATAAAGGGGATATCACCACCGATTCCACAGAAATACAAACTACCATCAGAGAATACTATAAACACCTCTACACAAATAAACTAGAAAATCTAGAAGAAATGGATACATTCTTGGACACATACACCCTCTCAAGACTAAACCAAGAAGAAGTTATTTGGAAAACCCCATTGTCTCAGCCCAAAATCTCCTCAAGCTGATAAGCAACTGCAGCAAAGTCTCAGGATACAAAATCAATGTGCAAAAATCACAAGCATTCTTATACACCAATAACAGACAAACAGAGAGCCAAATCATGAGTGAACTCCCATTCACAATTGCTTCAAAGAGAATAAAATACTTAGGAATCCAACTTACAAGGAATGTGAAGGACCTCTTCAAGGAGAACTACAAACCACTGCTCAGCAAAATAAAAGAGGACACAAACAAATGGAAGAACATTCCATGCTCATGGATAGGAAGAATCAATATCGTGAAAATGGCCACACTGCCCAAGGTAATTTATAGATTCAATGCCATCCCCATCAAGCTACCAATGACTTTCTTCATAGAATTGGAAAAAACTACTTTAAACTTCATATGGAACCAAAAAAGAGCCCGCATTGCTAAGACAATCCTAAGCAAAAAGAACAAAGCTGGAGGCATCACACTACCTGACTTCAAACTATACTGCAAGGCTACAGTAACCAAAACAGCATGCTACTGGTACCAAAACAGAGATATAGACCAATGGAACAGAATAGAGTCCCTGAAATAATACCACACATCTACAACCATCTGATCTTTGACAAACCTGACAAAAACAAGAAATGGGGAAAGGATTCCCTATTTAATAAACGGTGCTGGGAAAACTGGCTAGCCATATGTAGAAAGCTGAAACTGGATCCCTTCCTTACATCTTATAGAAAAATTAATTCAAGATGGATTAAAGACTTAAATGTTAGACCTAAAACCATAAAAACCCTAGAAGAAAACCTAGGCAATACCATTCAGGACATAGGCATGGGCAAGGACTTCATGACTAAAACACCAAAAGCAATGGCAACAAAAGCCAAAATAGACAAATGGGATCTAATTAAACGAAAGAGCTTCTGCACAGCAAAAGAAACTAACAGAGTGAACAGGCAACCCACAGAATGGGAGAAAATGTTTGCAATCTACCCATCTGACAAAGGGCTAATATACAGAATCTACAAAGAACTTAAACAAATTTACAAGAAAAAATCAAACAACCCTATCAAAAAGTGGGCAAAGGATACGAACAGACACTTCTCAAAAGAAGATATTTATGCAGCCGACAGACACATGAAAAAATGCTCATCATCACTGGCCATCAGAGAAATGCAAATCAAAACCACAATGAGATACCATCTCACACCAGTTAGGATGGCGATCATTAAAAAGTCAGGAAACAACAGGTCTGGAGAGGATGTGCTGGAGAGGATGTGGAGAAATAGGATGTGGAGAAATACACTGTTGGTGGGACTGTAAACTAGTTCAACCATTGTGGAAGACAGTGTGGCGATTCCTCAGGGATCTAGAACTAGAAATACCATTTGACCCAGCCATCCCATTACTGGGCATATACCCACAGGATTATAAATCATGCTGCTATAAAGACACATGCACACGTATGTTTATTGTGGCACTATTCACAATAGCAAAGACTTGGAACCAACCCAAATGTCCATCAATGATAGACTGGATTAAGAAAATGTGGCACATATACATCATGGAATACTTTGCAGCCATAAAAAAGGATGAGTTCATGTCTTTTGCAGGGACATGGATGAAGCTGGAAACCATCATTCTGAGCAAACGATCGCAAGGACAGAAAACCAAGCACCGCATGTTCTCACTCATAGGTGGGAATTGAACAATGAGAACACTTGGACACAGGGTGCGGAACATCACACACCGGTACCTGTCGTGGGGTGGGGGGAGGGGGGAGGGATAGCATTAGGAGATATACCTAATGTAAATGACGCGTTAATGGGTACAACACACCAACATGGCACATGTCTACATATGTAACAAACCTGCACGTTGTACACATGCACCCTAGAACTTAAAGTATAATAAAAAAATAAATAAAAACATTTGAATAAAAAAATTCCTTTGTTAGCCTTCTCATATCGATGGGATTAATAGTGATGGAACTTCTTTAACTTTTTATATTTGTAATTTCCTGTTTTCATTTTTATTAATTGCTGCTCTGGTTTTTATTAGCTTGAGAGATCAAAAACTCTTGGTGGCCAGCCTTAGGAGGGACCCCACAACTTGCGTGAGTTTTACCCCTTAGTAGGTTCTCAAGGCGAAGATCAGGAAAAAATCCCCTGTGCTTCTGGCAGGAGGAGGAGAAAAGTAACCATTTTGAAATATACCCAGAGGACTCTGTTCTCCCTAACAAAGGTCTCCCCTCAAGCTAGTCCACACCGCGTCTGTAGCCCTTAGTCAATCACCCTCCCAATGTTCCCACCCAATGCTGGCTCCAGTGGCAGCTGCTGCTCCTGGCAAGCTCTGATTCTTTGTATCCATCGATCTCTCAGATTTGAGCAGCCTGGTTCCCTGGTGACCTTGATTCACTAAAGGAACCAGGAAGAGCTGCTGATTTTCAGTGTGTTTGGCTTTCTTCTTGTTGTGGGGGCTGAGTGACAACTTCCTTGCTCCTTACAAGTTGGGCTGGAATCAGAAGTGAGTTCAATGGACTTTTATTTTTTTTTTTCTCCTCAACTAAATGCAACTCAGATCAACATGGAAAGGTAACACGTAAAGCAGGGACAGTGGCAAAAACCAGACAGGATGCCGGGAAGAATATTTTAACTTAAGATTCAGTCAGAGATAAAAGATTAAAATAAACTTTGTAATTATCTTTCCACATGACACATTTATAAATTCCTGTAATTTCCTGTGCCAAAATATATTTTCAGGCATCTCTTTTGATCATTTAAACTTATTTTTAAAAGCTTTACATATTTCCTTTTACACAAGTAATGGAACACAGACCAGTCAGCTGTATTGCTAAACATTACAAGGATATTATTACTTGTTTTAAACAAGTACCTGCCATAGCACATTCTGATATCTGGAATATGATTCTGACAGCAAAGCAAACTGACTAAATGAGTCCCATTTACTGAAACGACACTAGACAAAACTGCTTCTCAGATTTATGTAGCTCCAAACATGTGCATGCGTACAGAGTCCTCTCTCTCCGCACACACACAGTTGTTACGCACACAATGGAAGACATCACTGTGCTTGTGAAACCTGTGTTGAGAGCAGACAGATGGCGGTTATCAAATACTTTGGCACTCATACACAGGAGACAGTTACATCTCAGAGGAGTGTAACTTGTGTGAAGGCTAACGCTGGCACTGGATCCAAACCTGTGCAAATAGCCCTGTGACACCCTCTTCTACTGAAATATATGAATTGTTTTAGGCCATCGGGGTGGGCTGGGAAAGAGTTTTAAAATATAAATAGAGACCAGGACAATGACTATATTTATTTAGAGGTGACAACATCCTTAAATAATTTAGGTCAGCTGACGCAAGCGCTGAGAAGCTGAACAACTGGCATGGTGCTCTATCTTCACTGCCAGGCCAGGCAAGGGGGCCCCAGCTAATGCTGCTCCGTGCTGATCTGCTCTCTGCTCCTCATACCTGTTGGTATCGACCTTGTAAGAAGGTTCAGATCCATGAGTGGCCCGTGATGACTGAACACTAAATGGATGTTGGGAGAAGCTCATCTCTCTGTGGATGCTCTCTACTCACGCAGGCCACCTCGAAGGAGAAGTCTGATTACTGCAAGTTGTTACAGTTCAGTGTATACGATATTTTGATAATACACAGAGAGTGTTTCATTGCAGTCAAATAATATCTTGAGCTCTCACAACAGCAAACTTCAGGAACTTCAAAGGAATTCCAGTCCAACTGGAACCGTCATTACAAAACAAATCTTAGCTTTATTGTTAGCCAGACCACAAAGGGGCAGAGACTGTGCCAAAGTAAATGCTCTTGAGATCTCTATATATTACCTTTGAACAATTAATTGGTCTCCTGGAGACAAGGAAAAAAAAGGAAAGAAAACAAAATAAAAGATTGACAATGAAATATATTGTTCTTGGATGTCACAGCCTGGATAAGCCATAGCCACATTGAACAAATACCTGCCAAATTGATCATTAATTTCAACTAGTCTGTAATTTCACACATTAGGCTAAGTCTTGTACACTGAAATTACGCGCACTTTGTAGATGATATTTTCAGCTGGTCACAAAGAGGAAATTCTACTGCCTAAGAAAATAGGCATCCAGATATTCAAAGACCGGGCCTCAGAGGTGAACTTCACTTATATGAGGCATTTCTCTGTGCTACCATGAATTCTTGATGTGCGCCCTTCATCCACCTGCTTCCTCGTGGCACCTTCCAAACCATCCAGACATGACTCTAAGTCATCAGGTTAATGAACAGGACAGGCAGAGAGCTGAGTGGCAGTAAATAAACAGGGCCTGACCCCTATCAGAATTTAAATGTTTTGGGATCCTGACCCCAACTATCAGCATTTGCCAACATTGCTAGTTCTCCTCTTATACCTCTGCCTTCCAAAGTACCACACCAATGAGGGTGCAGGCCAGGTGTTAGTTCTGATCCGGCACCGTGACCTGACTTCTCACACGGAAAGCAGCGTGGACCTTCTGGCCTCCCTCCCTTGGGCGCCCGGCCAGGACACGCAAGGTCATACTGCTGAGGCCCTTTGAGATCCTCGAGTTAAAGGGGCCCATAAAGGCAAAGTGTCATGAACGGCGTATGTTCCAGGTGCATCACTTGAGCCGCCAGAGCCACATAATGGTTTGCCTGGTAAGTGCCTTTGCCCAGCATGTGCCCATTGAACAAACCACAAAAAGATGACTGCAAAGGGGTCTTCTTATAATAGGGCCTGGTGCCTGGTGGATGCCCAGAGCCCTTGCCATTTCTGAAATGGACATAAGTGACCTAAAAGGCAGCTTTTCATGACAGGTTACCCTGGATGATGTTTCCTAAAGAAAAGTCACATCAGTGGGTGAGACAGAATGTAACAACTAGTCTGTTCTCTCTCACCGTTCACATTTACTGTTGCCTCCTCGGCAGGGAGGATAAAAAGAAAGAAGTAACACAAATATACTCTCACATACATCGAATATACATACACATGCTCACACATACACACACAAGTGCACAACACACTCATACACATACGTACACCTACAAATACACACACTTACAGATACACACACCTATATACACACACACACACCTCCCCCACCGAGAGGCGATGAGCACAGGGCATGTGCCAATGCAGAAGAGGACTGTGTCTACACACCTGCCTCCTCACAGTGTCCTGCCACCCTGCCGCCAAGACACGCTGGTACTTGTTGGGCTGTGATAAAAGCTTCTGCTTGGCTGCCATGGGTGACATCTTACTACAGATTCTGTTACATGGTGGGATATGTCACTGCATTTTCAATCTGCTGTGTTCTAGCATCTACAGTCCCAAAATGGCTCAAGAAGAAAGTGGTCCTACAGAGGTCAGAATCTGAGGTTGTAAGAAATTATGAAAGCTCTGCCATTCAGGACAAGATGGAAATCAGTGTGGCTCCAGGTGAGGAGGACCAGGCGGTAGACCCAGGCGCACAGTGGGAACAGTCTACGACTGCCAGGGAAGGCCTCCGGTGGAGAGTGGCATCCGCCAGCTCCCTGGCAGCCCCAGGCAGAGAGGCCAGGGGATCTCACCAGCAACCCCCACCATAAAGTGCTGGAAGGTGCTAAAGAGAATGCCGTGAATCTGATTTTCAAAACACCACTCAGTGTGTCTGTGCAGAAATGCACTAAGGCTGGAGTGCAGTGGCACGATCACAGCTCACTGCAGTTTTGACCTCCCTGCACGCTGGTGATCCTCCCATTTCAGCCTCCTGAGTAGATGGGACTATAGGCACGCACCACAGTGTGCGGCTAATTTTTGTATTTCTTATAGAGACAAGGTCTTGCTATGTTGCCCAGGCTGGTCTCAATTCTTGGGCTCAAGTGATTCATCTGCCTTCGCCTCCCAAAGTGTTGGGATTACAGGCGTGAACCACTGTGCCTGGCTTTTTTTTTTTCTTAATATGGAAAGATATGAGATTTAGATTTAGAAGACCTGGCTCCACGGTATGGCCCCTTCACTTACAAGTCTCCTGGCCTTCAGTATTGCGTATGTCTAGGTTTATGAAATGCCTTTTCCTCCCAAAACTTTGATGTTTGTTAAATACCTATGTTTTACCTTCCCAAGTAATGCAATTATGAGTAATTTCATGATATGTCTTTATTTTATTCTATAATTTATTTTATGACAAATACAAAGGAAGGAGTAAAAGGAATCTATGTCCCAAAAGATAGGTACACTTCATAACACCTTCAGACAGAAAGAGGCAGCAGTGTCTGAGCCCAAACGAGCTCCTCTGCCAACCCCCGCCTCCTCAGGCCTCCACTGCTACCAAGCTCAGCCTCACTGCTGGCATTTCTGGTCAGCCCACATGAAAGAGATTGAGGCTTGTGCCCTCTGGCCATGCTGGTGCCATTGCCACTGGGAGGACCGGGGACTCTGTGTGCCCACTAGGCCAGGCAGGCGGGCAGGCCAGTCAGTGAGGAATCTGCCCCAGTGCTGATGGCCTTTCATTTTTTTTTTTTTTTTTTTTTTTTTTTGAGACGGAGTCTCGCTCTGTCGCCCAGGCTGGAGTGCAGTGGCGCAATCTCGGCTCACTGCAAGCTCCGCCTCCCGGGTTCACGCCATTCTCCTGCCTCAGCCTCCCAAGTAGCTGGGACTACAGGCGCCCGCCACTACGCCCGGCTAATTTTTTGTATTTTTAGTAGAGACGGGGTTTCACCGTTTTAGCCGGGATGGTCTCGATCTCCTGACCTCGTGATCCGCCCGCCTCGGCCTCCCAAAGTGCTGGGATTACAGGCGTGAGCCACCGCGCCCGGCCTCATTTTTTTAGAAAGGGAAATCTGGATATTTGGGTGAAATTTACTGACATTTTAATTCAATTAAAGAAAGCACTTCTATTGGCCTAGTTGGTCCTAGAAGCCCCCAATATAAGACCCGTGGCTGGGTCATGGAGACGGGGTAAAACCACGCACGTGGGTGAGCACGTGGGAGTCTCACTATGCCGACGTCGACATCCTGTCTCTTTGGGACTGGCTCCTACAGCACACATTTTACTCCAGGGATGGCTCTAGGTTTCTTTTGTTTGTTTTTTGAGTCAGAGTCTTGCTCTGTTGCCCAGGCTGGAGTGCAGTGGTGCAATCTCGGCTCACTGCAAGCTCTGCCTCCCGGGTTCACACCATTCTCCTGCCTCAGCCTCCCGAGTAGCTGGGACTACAGGCGCCCGCCACCACGCCCGGCTAGTTTTTTGTATTTTTAGTAGAGACCGGGTTTCACCGTGTTAGCCAGGATGGTCTCCATCTCCTGACCTCGTGATTTGTCCGCCTCGGCCTCCCAAAGTGCTGGGATTACAGGCGTGAGCCACCGCGCGCGGCCTGGATGGCTCTAGTTTTAAAGGTCTTAGGATATCTGCCTCAAGCCCTGTCATAATGGAGAAATTATTTTAACCCAAGAAACTCTGGTGGGAAACATGTGAGAGGGCCAGGAATCCCGGGTCTGATGCACCATCTTCTCCCACCTTTAGCAAATAGGATGTGACCACTGCCCTCATGGCTTTCAAGGATGAGGATCGGTTATTACATAGAAATGACACGATACACGCATTTGGGGGAAAAACCTTTAGACATGAGAGGTGCTTTTGTCTCACTTGTGTTTTTCCTAAACTTGATTTTTAGTTAGTTTAGAAAGTTCCCTTGGACACGTTCAACTTTTCATAACTCGTGAGATGAAGTAGTAGGCTCTTGGCTTCTGACATTCAGGTAATCACACTGCACCTGTCCTAATGTCCTCTAGGTTATGAACAGAAGTTTTTCTAAGTTGAGGCATAACACATTTTATACTGTAATAGAAAGAGGGTGGGTTTTGCGATCGGTAGGCCTGGATCCGCCCTCTATCAGCTATGAGGGTGGGGTTTGCCATCGGTAGGCCTGGATCCGCCCTCTATCAGCTATGAGGGTGGGTTTTGCCATCGGGAGGCCTGGATCCGCCCTCTATCAGCTATGAGGGTGGGTTTTGCCATCAGTAGACCTGGATCCGCCCTCTATCAGCTATTTTTTTTGTATTTTACACCACTCACTCTCTTCAGGCCTCAGCTTCCTCCTTGGTGAAGTGGGAGTCACAGAAGTAGTGACTTCACCGTGCTGTGTGAGCATCCGCTGAAGTCGTATGGAAACACCAGGATGTGGGGCGGCTGGAAGTCTCCCGTGTTGCTGGTGGGAATGCAACAGGGCAGAGCGGTTGTGGAAAACAGCCTGAGCCTGGCCACAGACATACTTCCCAGATGAACCGTGGGCTCACTCAAACGTATGTAACCAGAGCAATAAAAACACATGTCCACACAAACCAGGAATGCAAATGTTCACAGCAGCAACATTCGTATCATCCCCAAAGGAAACAACCCAAATGAGCTTCAGGTGAACGGCTGTGCGGCAATGCATCCACACGAACGAAGACTATGAAATGAATGAAAAGGAACGAACAGACACACCGGGGAACATGGTAAATCTCAATGACATTGTGCCAGGTAAAGGAAGGCCAGCACAAAAGACACATACTGAAGGATTCCATTTACACAACATTCTAAACTTACAGTGACCAGAAAAGGGGCGGTGTTGGGGGCAGGACTGACTACAAAGCAGGAGGAGCGAGCTTTTTGCTGGGGCTGGAGATGGTCCTGTCTTGGCTGTGGTGATGGTTACACAACTGTATATGGCCAAAACTCATCAAATGTACACCCTTAGTGGGTGATTTTTATTTTAAATAAATTATACCTCATTAAAGCTGGGGGTTAAACCGAGTCCAGCACCTGGCACCAAGTAAATATACACAGTAAATTATTCATCCTCTTCCTGTTAGTTGCCATTTAGAATTATCAACCTGTGCCTGCCACTGAAGCCACAATGATGTCAGGCTTAAGTGTTGCTTTTCTCCTTCAAATACTATGACACAAAACTGCTCCCTCTCTCCCCCCCCTTTTTTTTTAACTACTTACCCACCTTAAAAAAAAGGTAGACTTAATTAACACTTGTAAAGCACCTTGAGACACTTGAATTAAAAAGTAATAGAGGAGGCTGAGTGCGGTGGCTCATGCCTGTAATCCTAGCACTTTGGGAGGCCGAGGTGGGCAGATCACTTGAGGTCAAGAGTTCGAGATCAGCCTGGTCAACATGGTGAGACCCCCGTCTCTACTATAAACAGCAAAAAAATTAGCCCAGTGTGGTGGTACATGCCTGTAATCCAAGCTACTTGGGAGGCTGAGGCCGGAGCCGAGATCACGCCACTGCACTCCAGCCTGGGTGACAGAGCGAGACTCCATCTCAAAAACAAAAAACAACAAACAAACAAAGTAATAGAGGAGTATCTGGCACTGCTATTGCTCTTCTGTTTTCAATGATGCAAACAGTATAGCTCTTTGTTTGCTAAGCGACTTTAGTAAGGGTTTTTTTTTAATTAAAAAAAACTGTTTAATCTGAAAATGAAATTCAAAGGCCTGCTGACAATATATTCCTCGTCTCCATTCATGCCAACAATGACTATGCCAGCGTTTGCAGATTTATGCCCATGGATTCCCAGATTGGGAGACAGGAAATGGGTGTCCATCCTCCCCCACCTGCAGTTCCAAGCTGGCCGCACAGAGCACAGGGAGGTTGGTTGCTCAGAACGTGGCCATAACATTTACCAGGAAAAACGGAGTGAAGAGGAAGGATGGGAAGGAATGGAGGGGCACAGGATGGAGATTTTCCCAATCAAGTTGGGGAAAAGTATGGCTGTTTCACTCAGCATTTCTCTGCTTCACTAATTAAAAATGATTTTAAGAGCTAACAATTGCAAAAATCTTCTTAAGCTTATCAGTGAATTCCTGAATATCCCCTGGTGAAGTCTTCCTTTGGCATAGACGTGCATGCCCGAATCTTAATTTCTCTCTAGCATTCTGGGTGATCATGCCATAAAGCACAGGCCGTGGAGTCATTTTCTGAGACAAGAAGTCGCTCCACATTGGGCTTTCTGGCTGGTTCTTTTTGGCCGTGGGTCTGGTTACAGTGGTGGCAGAAGAAGCGAAGTCTGTAGCCCTCATTACAGACCCTTTGCTGGCTGGGGGCATGTGGCTGTGAGAGAGGAGCAGAACTGAAGCCAGTTTCTCCTGCTCTGCACTCTGAAACCCGAGATGACGCGGCCTCTTTCCCGCACAACAGTGTAGAGCGTTCAGTTGGTGTTATGACTTGTCTGGTTCCCACAGAGGAAGGAATCCTGCCAAATATTTGTAATCTGCACTTAAGTATGCAATCAGGGAAACCACACCCAGAAGCAAGTGCATGGCTACATAATTAAAATGGTCTTGCTGGAAGACCAACTGGAAATGGTTGGAGAGGGTGTGGGGGGAAGCTGATGAGTGAGTGTCACTGGGATCTCTGACACTTTGGCCATCATTCTCTGCAAAACATTTTCTCCTTAGACTCTAGCAAGCACGCATCTTTCTCTGTGTCCACTGATTAGTCACAGTATTTGTCTTTGTATAACCATTTAAGAAAATATTTGCATCTATTTAAAGGATCTAAATAGATCCCCCCCGGGTTGGCTTGTATTTATGGCATAAGCCATAATGGAATGTACTTATATGCAAACCATCTTTCCCTCTGAGTAAAGCATTTTGGCACATTTTCTATGACAGCACTGAGTCACAGTGCACAGTACATTAACGCAGCAACTTCTGAAATTGAGCTGCCCAGGTTGCAGGGCTGGCAATGCTTTATAAAAGGGTTAAAACCATTCACTCTGAGGTACTGGTAAGATAAAGGACTAAACAAACTAATGTGTTATCCTTGGAGGCAATACAATTTTTTTAAATGAAATTACTGAAATTAGTAAGGATTAAATTTAATTTTTATAGTCAGATAATAGCTACCAGCAGCGCCATCTGTTGAAATATTCCAAAACTTCATTTCCTGCATCCCAAATAATATTTACTTAAAGGAAGATACAAATGTTTAAAATCACAAGTAGGACTGGAACTCCATCCTCAGTTTTAGGCAAAATCACAACTATAATATTTTCCAGGACAAGAGGCGCCACCCCGTTTGTCAGGCCCCAGAGATGTCCTTACCTACATCAGTAACCCCTTCAAGGTTCACGAACCTTCTCACTGACAAAAAACTCCCATAACAGAAACGAAAGAGCTCCTGTTCAACTACAGCAACACCCCCAAGGCTTGAACATCAGGAAGGACGTGAACAGCACCTGCTACCTAGACTCTCCCGCACTTCACGGGCTGGTTGGGTTTCAGACCTGGAAGTGGCGCAGGCCTCCAACCTCCAGGGGAGGAGGATGAGGCCAATGTTCTAGGTCAAGGTCTTGCCTAAGATCAGACAGGTGGTAGGTATCAAGGTCAGGAGCTGCATTCAGGCCCCAGGTGTTCTGAATTTCAGCCCAGAACGCTTCCCATTGGATTCCAGGGCCAATACTAACTCCTCCACTCAGCAGGCCATCAGCAAGCTCCTGTGTTCCAGGCACCGTCCTTCTCCTGTGTTCCAGGCACCGTCCTTGACACTAGGGAGAGAGTTGCCAGCACAATGGACAGGGCCCTTAGCCATGCAGCTTCCATTCTAGCGGGAGGAGAGACACAAAGAGGCAGGTGAAGAACGTGAGGGGGGTTCAGAGAAGCCACGGAGGCTTCTCTGATGCAGAGACTGAAAGAGTGTGGGGAGCAGTCCTGCCCTCTAACTTTCTGGGGGAGGAGCAGGTGTCAGTGCCCCAAGGTGAAGCTGAAGGGTCAGTGTGGTTGGAGAGAGGGCATGGGGGTAAGAGGGCAGGAGCTAAGCGGGGTGAGGTTGGGGCGGGGCAGGTCATGGAGAACACTGTAAGCTGCGGGAAGGACCTGGAATTCCACTGAGAGAGCTGTAAAGCCACAGGTGGGTTCTGAATGAGAGGTAATGTGGTCTCACTTACGTAAAAAGTGCCACTATCTTCACAATGGGCTGTAGGAGGGCAAGAATGGAGGCCGTGAGGCTCTTAAATCCACAGCAGAGAGGATGGCGGCTTTGTTTAGCGGGGCTTGGGAGGCTGGTGAGACACAGCTGGATTCTGGGTTGATTTCCGAAGGAGAGTGAGTGAACCGTTCGCTGATGGATAAGTTGTGGGGTGTGAGAGAGGGAGGGGAGTCAATGTTGACTCTGATGCTTTGGGGTTTCAGCAAAAAGAATACCAGCATTTGCTGAGCACCTACTAAGTGTCAAGCATATTTTCTCTACCAGTCTCAGAAACTCTCAAGTGTGGGCATTTGCCCCCATTACACAGATGAACGACGGCTCGTGGAAACCCCGCACCTTGCTATGGTCACGCACGTGGAGCGTGCTGTGTGGAATACAAGCTGGTCTACCTCTTTTTCTTCCTCCTACTTGGATCTGCTTCCAGCAATCAAGCAACTCCAGTTCCCTCCACCTTCTAAAGTTTGTGTGTGTTTCTACATTACATCCTCTCCGTGATTCTCCTCTGAAACCTCTCCACGCTCTTCAAAGCATATATTTAGCTATTGAGTCACAAATCCACTGCAGCTCTCATGAGGTCTTTATCTTAAATACCAGCCAAAAAGAAAGAATTTGCCTGGGGACTTAATACTCCCATGTAGAGTTTAATTTATGTTAAACGTATTTCTGTAATGGTCTTCATTAGAGGCACCAAGATGGGATACAGTAGCTATTATATAAAGATAGCCAGCTAACACTTGTGAGGTATATGCAGATTTTGGGGGTACTGCCTTTTCCAATTGACAGCATCTGTTTGAGGAATGTGAGTTTATTTTATTTTTTTAAAGTCAGCTCTCTACATATTCCTGCAAGTTTTGGAAGGGAAATAAATGATAGCACTTCAACATCAGCCATTTTCCCTAAAAATCACTTAAAACTGACATTAGAGAATGCAGATGTGGATGATCATTACTGTAGAGGTTACTTTCTTATAACATGTTCTTGCTATGAGGGTTGCATTGAAAAATGAGGCTCTGAAACGATAACCTTTGGGCCATAATAAGCACCAGTGACCTTTTACATGGACAGACACAAAGTTATTTTTATTAAATCAAGCTGAGGTTGTGGTTGTGTCAGATATATATTTTTAACCATGGTAGAGTTGCAGGAGGAATGGCCTGTGTGGGATTCCATACTTCAAACTTGGTAGAATACAGTTAGGGAAGGATTCTGCAACCACTTCTCTCTTCCTCTTCATCGGACTGCTCCACACCCAATACTGCAAACATGAGTCAAGAGAGCCCATAAAATTACCCAAGTGTAGGCCTACCTCACAATGAATACTTGAAAGCTTTCACTAGCATTATAAAGTAACTTTTCATTCTTTGAATGATCTGTCTCATGAGTAATGTCATCTAGCAATGTAGCAAGGTAGGACACTCCCCCTGAATAACAAGCAGTGTGGAACTGAAATAGAGATATAATGTTAGAAATGACACCACCTCTTTGAATCAGATACATTTGTATCTTCTGGTATAAGACAATGGATATTAGGAGTAAATATGTTCCTGGCAACCCTAAGTAAACTTGAAAATTCAGGGTTGAGCCCATCCCTCACTGACACACAAATCTCCTTCTTATTGCTTTTCTGTCCTGCAACTATTTATCTTCCCAGGATTTTTGTCCAACAACATTGTCTACAATTCTAATTCAACGGTCACCTTGGCAAAGGATTAATATACTGTAATGTCTAGCAAATGATCACCTCATAAACGTCTTCTGAAAAATTGTAATAAAGTGAAGACGCGTGATTTCCTTAGGTCAAGAGGAGCATACCTGGATTAATCATAAATGAGTATTCACACTGGCTTACAACAGCATAGAAAACAAGTTGAAATATATGTAGATAACATAAAGCATGACCACTGATTAATAAGATTGCTTTTATTAATCAAAATAAAACTGGGTACCCATCTGTAATCCCACCTACTAGGGAGGCTAAGGCAGGAGAATCTCTTGAACCCGGGAGGCAGAGGCTGTAGTGAACCGAGATCGCATCACTGCACTCCAGCCTGGGAGACAGAGTAAGACCTTGTCTCAAGAATAACAATAACAAACAAACCAACCCACAAAAAACTGGGCACCCATTTACATATACAAATAATTTGAGCATCATTTGTTTTAAAGAAAACATCTTTTGCTGTGCAAAAGCTCTTTAGTTTAATTAGATCCCATTTGTCAATTTTTGCTTTTGTTGCAACTGCTTTTGACGTTTTTGTCATGAAATCTTTGCCCGTGCCTATGTATGGTATTGCCTAGATTTTCTTCTAGGGTTTTATAGTTCGAGATTTTACATTTAAGTCTTTAATCCATCTTGAGTTAATTTCTGTGTAAGGTATAAGGAAGGGGTCAAGTTTCAATTTTTTGCATATAGCTAGCCAGTTCTCCCAATACTTTATGAAATAGGGAATCCTTCCCCCATTGTTTGTTTTTGTCAGGTCTGTTGAAGATCAGACGGTTGTAGACGTGCAGTCTTATTCCTGAGTCCCCATCAGAGTGAACAGACAACCTACGGAATGGGAGAAAAGTTTTGCAATCTATCCATCTGACAAAGGTCTAATATGCAGAGTCTACACGGAACCTAAACAAATTTACAAGAAAAAAACCAAACAACTCCATTAAAAAGTGGGCAAAGGACACAAACACACACTTCTCAAAAGAAGACATTTATGCAGCCAACAAACATATAAAAAGAAGCTCAACATCGCTGATCATTAGTGAAATGCAAATCAAAACCACAGTGAGATACCATCTCAAACCAGTCAGAATGGTGATTATTAAAGTCAAGAAACCACAGATGTTGGCAAGGCTGTGGAGAGATAGGGACGCTTTTACACTGTTGGTGGGAATGTAAATTAGTTCAACCATTGTGGATGACAGTGTGGCAATTTCTCAAAGACCTAGAGGAAGAAATAGCATTTGACCCAGCAATCCAATTACTGGGTATATACCCAAAGGAACATAAACCATTCTATTATAAAAATATATGCACACATATGTTCATTGCAGTGCTAGTCACAATAGCAAAGACATGGACTCAACCCAAATGCTAATCAATGATAGACTGGATAAAGAAAATGTAGTACATATATACCATGGAATACTACGAAAACATAAAAAGGAATGAGTTCATGTCCTTTGCAGGGACATCGATGAAGCTGGAAGCCATTACCCTCAGCAAACTAATGCAGGAACAGAAAACCAAACACCACATGTTCTCACTCGTAAGTGGGAGCTGAACAATGAGAACACATGGACACGGGGAGGGGCACACACACTGGGGCCTGTTGCGGGGGGTGTGGGGGAGGGAGAGCATCAGGAAAAATAGCTAATGCATGCTGGCCTTAATACTTAGGTGATGGGTTGACAGGTGCAGCAAACCACCATGGCATACGTTCACCTAAGTAACAAACCTGCACATCCTGCACATGGTCCCCGGAATTTAAAATAAAATAAAAATAAAAATAAAGTGATCTTAGAAGTCTACTATTACCTATACCAGTCTTGGTTCAAAATACGTCTTAAGTGTCCCTTTGGGAACTGCCTTAACAGTGGGTCTACAAGGCACATTAGAAAAGCAGTTTTATATGGTATAGTTACAGTGTTCTAAAATTTATTTTGCCCTAACAGCTTTATTAAGGTATATAATTAACATACAATAAAGAGATGGCATCCTATCTGTGCTCCTATGTAAACATATCATGTCCTTTTTCTCTGGCTACCTTTAACATTTTTGTTTATCACTGGTTTTGTGCTGTATGATTATGAAGGACCTCAGTGCAGTTTTTTTCATGTTTCTTTTGTTGGGATTTGTGGTGGTTAATACTGAATGTCAACTTGACTGGATTGAAGGATGCAAAGTATTGTTCCTGGGTGTGTCTGTGAGGGAGTTGCCAAAGGAGATCAACATTTGAGTCCGTGGACTGGGAGAAGCAGACCCACCCTCAGTCTGGGTGGTCAGCATCTAATCAGCTGCCAGTGTAAAAGCAGACATGGGAAGGGCAGACTTGCTGAGCCTTCTGGCCTCCATCTTCCTCCCATGCTAGATGCTTCCTGCCCTGGAACATCAGACTCCAAGTTCTTCAGCTTTTGAACTCTTGGACTTATACTAGTGATTTGCCAGGGGCTCTTGGGCCTTCGGCCACAGACTGAAGGCTGCACTATAGGCTTCCCTGCTTTTAAGGTTTTGGGACTCGGACTGGCTTCCTGGTTCCTCGGCTTGCAGACAGCCTATGGTGGGACTTCACCCTGTGACCATGTGAGTCAGTTCTCCTAATAAACTACCCTTCATATATTCATCTATCCTATTAGTTCTGTCCCTCTAGAGAATGCTGACTAATACAGGGTTTGTTGAGCTTCTTGGATATTTGTGTTCGTAGTTTTCATGAAATTTGGAAAAAAATGTTTAGCATTATTTCTTCAAATATCTTTTCTGTCCTCCCCTCCTTTTTGGGGACTCCAATTACACACATACATTAGGGCATTGGAAGTTGTCCTCCAGAACTGATTCTCTGTTAATTTTTTTAAAATTCTGTTTTTCTGTTTCATATTACATAGTCCCTATTGCTACGTCTTCAAGTTCACTAATCTTTTCTTTTACAATGTCTAATACGCCATTAATTATGTCAATGTAATTTTCATGACAGACATTATAGATTTCATCTTTAAGTTCAATCTGAGTGTCTTCTTTATATCTTCCTTCTACTTAACTTTCTTAACATACAGAATAAGGTTCTAAAAATTAGTTTAACATCTCTACTGCTAATTCTAACATCTGCATCAGTTCTGGGTTGATTTTGATTGGTTCTTTTTCTCTTGTTTAGGGGATATATTTTCCTGCTTCTTTGCAAGCTTGGTAATTTTTTATTGGATGCCATTAATTGTGAAATTTATCTTCTGGGGCAGTAGATATTTTTGTATTCCTGTACATACTCTTGAACTTCGTTTCTGGGACCCAGTTATGTTACTTGGAAGCAGCGGTACTTTTGGCTCCTCCTTTCGTGATTTGTTAGGCAGGTCTGGAGCAGCCAGTGCCCCTTCTAAGAGGCAAGACCCTTCCGAACACCCTACCAATGCCCTGTGGATTTTAATCTTTTCCAGTCTGGCTGGTGGAAACAGGCCACCTTCCCAGCCCTGTGTGAACATTCAGTACTGTTCCCTCTAATCCTTTTGGATGGTTGTTCCCCAGCCTTAGGTAGTTTCCTCCTGTGCTGATCAGCACTGCCCTGACTGCTCCAGGGGCACCTCTGCAGATCTCTGGAGCAATCACTGCAATTCTCCTCACCTCTGCCCTGCGTTCTCTTACCAGTCCGGCTGCCCTGAACTCTGTCCTCTAAGCTTAGGGAACTTGCTGGGCTCTGCCCGAATCCTGTCCCCATGCCTCATCCTGTTCAGTCTCCCAGCAGTGAGCTAGGGTACTCGAAGGGCTCACCTCATTTGTTTCCTGTATCTCAGAGGTTACTGTCCTCCGTTGCCTGACATCCAGTGTGTACTAAAAAACATATTTCCATATATTTTTGTTGTTGTTGTTGTTGTTTTGTCTTTTGGGCAGGAGGGCAAATCTGTCCCTGTCACTCCATCTTGGCTGGAAGTGGCTGTCTTAATGCTAGTGTTTAGTATCACTCAATGCGGCCATCAACTTGGCAAGGGTTGACTTTGGATTACTTTTTCTTATTTCAGGAAAATAAAATGGCAAAGATAAAGTTCTGTTACTAGCAAGCACAGTTACTAGTTTGTTTTCTCTGTTATCATTTACTGAGCACGTGCTATGTACCCTCCAAGTAGGCTGTGCTTTATGTACATTTTTCTTATTTTAATCTAACAAACTTATAAAACAAATACTATGAGTTTTATTTTATATAAGAGGAAACTGGAACTTAGAGAGTCAAATAACTTGCCCAAGGTTATACAACTAGCAGGTGACAGGGCTGAGTTGAAAACAAGTTTCTCCAATTCCAAAGACTGTTTTTATTCACTGCAGTTCTGAAGGCACTAAAGAGAAGATCCTGGGCCCCCAAAGTGTGTTTGAACAATGGTAGCATTGTTAAAATACATAATTCTCTGATGACTTGACAAAGCATAATGATGCCAATTACTCTCTTTTACTGATTCTACTATGCTACGGATTGTAAGAGGTACTATTATTTTATCTGTCCGTAAGAAGGAAAAAAATCTACCCATTAAACCACAGCATAGTGTTTTAGATGCCGTTAATTTTAGGGTGGATCTCAATTTTAGCATTGTTAAAAAAGAAACAATATGCATATTAAAATCAATAAAATGATACAGTATCATGTACTGGGTACTACTGTTGCTTTTGATTCTTTCAACAACCCTAAAAGGTAGTCATTGTGGTATGCATTTACAGAAGTAGAAACTGAGGCTCAGGCTCAAGGGTAGGTGACATGTCTAAGGTCACACTGCAGTAAATGGCAGTGCCAGACTTTTGCTACTTCTTATATGCTTGTCAAAAAAATCAGTCCTATTAAAATCAAACATATGCTTTTAATGGCATGTCAAGCCCATGTGTGTATACACACACGTCTGCACACATGTATATGCCTAGGTGCTCCCTAGGAGTTATATTTGCTTTAGTAGCATAGCAAGAGGTGGAAATAGGATAAATGAGTGTGTTGGCAGAATGACATTTCTCATCTGCCCACAATCTAGTGAATAAACAATTACGTCGTGAAGGTTACATAAACTTAGAAAAAGCTTATAGTATTTATTGCAGCAATAACCAAATTTTAAACTAGGACATACACCTGTCCAAATGAAAAGTACCTATTACTTTTATAGATTCCTACCTAGTTTTGTGCAGTAAGACCCAGAGCCAACCCTGCTTTGGAAGGTGTTTGTCTAACGTTCTTTGAGTAAGGAATGCTTCCTCACAATACCACAGAGGAGGGTGCCATTTCAAGTAGAATTTCTTTGTTTTCTTGTTAATTCTGTATCTCTTCAGTGTAAAACACAGAGAACAGAGTCATATTTCTTTCTATGAGCAAATTAAAAAAAAATAACAAACTTCCCTGAGGATAAAAGTGTGAGGACGGTCATTTACTTGGATTGACAAATGCAGCCCATGACGGGGTCCAGGAAAGCTCGTCTGCACAATATACCACCAGTTCACTAGGTGACGTGGAGAATCCTGAAGAGTCTGGCTACTGTTTAAGATCCTCATTTCTGATATGAGTTAGAAATCTCCACAGTGAGTGAATCTTAAATTTGGAGTCTTCTGTAAAAACTGAACCAATGAATAGCATTGAAACGGTAGAATGAAATTCAACTACCTTTGAGGCCTCACATCAGTAATCCCCTCTACAAAATCATAGTTATCTTAATGCAAAGACTGCTGTAATCCTGGCCTTGCAATGCACTATTTTTCATCTGAATGGTTCAACTGTGTGTCCTATTTCAGAAGAGGAAGGGGTGACAGTGACATACAGGGCACAGATTTTCTGTATGTTATATTGGTAATCATAGAGGGCTCTCTCATGCAGCAGTAGATAACGTCTAACAGCCAGTTCTTTCTCAACATCAGCATCAGCATGTGGCCATGACAAATGAAGTCTGGAAGTAGCTCTTGGCAGAATCCTTAAGGCTGCAACAGAAGATGTGTGCTTTTCCCTGCAAGGCCCCTGTGTGCAGGGACCCTGCCCTGTCACTCTGAGGTCCTGGCACCGCCTCTTCAGAGTCCCACGTGTTCTTTTCCAGGCTCAAACTTAAGAGCCTGGTTTCCAGTGACTTGGCCCTGAGAACAAACAGTGCTGAGATGAAGCCTGTGGCTCCATGAGCAAGCTGAACGTGGCCAGAAGGCAATCACAACATTCTTTTCTGTCTTGGTTTTTTTTTTTTTTTCTTTTTTTTTTTTTTTAATTTTAGCTTTGATGACAAAAACAATGCTGGAGGAGAGTGAGAGCACCAAGTTGAACCCACGTGGACCAGCTTTGACGATGAAGCTACAGGCAGCCAAGTCAACTCACACATAGAGAAAGTGGAAAAAGAACAGAAAAGCAGGAGACAGAAACAAAAACATGCAGGAGAGGGTGATTCTGTTCCATGATCTTGGCTCAGTGCTCCAGGGTTCCTAATGTTTCAGCAAAAAGAAAATCACTGTAATGAAATGTAATGAGACCCTTTGACACTGAGGAAGTGACAACTCAGGCTTGGCCTTCTACCACACACCTATAATCTGTGACTTGCAACAGAACTTTTCCCGAAGAGCGCAGTCCTCCCTGAGCAAAATGGCTAGGGCCTACGCCGTGATTTGCTGCTCTGGAATGGGACACACATGTTGCTAATCCTTGCAAAACCAGCTGAAGAACCATTTTCCTCCTGAGAATTTTCTTCTGTTCACTGCTAATTTTGGCTACTTTAGTTGCTTTGTTTCTCCTCCACTTAAGTAAATATTCCTCGAGTTGATGTGCCAAACCTCTCTTTTGGAATAACAGAAGGTTTAACACATATATGCTCACAGGGACAGCGCTTTCACACGTTACTGACAGCTTCATAGACATCATTTCTATTTCTCCTCAAGACAAGCTAAGGCAGAAGGTAAGGCAGACATTATGATGTCCATTTCACAGATGCGGAAAGTGAGGCTCAGAGGGGTTAAAAGATGACCTGATACAAGTCATAGAGCCGGTATCTGGAAGAAGCAGGAGCAAAGTCCAGGCATCCTGATCCAAGCTAGGTCCACTGCCTTCCACTCTGGAGAGGCTTCATCTCCAACAGAGGAAGGGACGTGAGTGGCTGGAAAATCTCATGGATGAAGAGCCTCAGATTTCATGCTCCTTGGAGTCACATGGTAAAACAACAAGTGTTTGGCCTGTGGTTCTGTCACTTTTACCATCTGTGACCCTGGGGTAAATAATGGCATCTTTAAGCATTTGTTTTTGAAAGATGGAAATGATGATAATTAGCTGATTGGGCTGCAGTGAGAAGAAAACAGGCTGGTACATGGATGATGCAGAGAAGTATGTCTGTCACACCGTAGGAGCCCAACAGCCCATGCGTTACTTCAGACAATGGCAGCTGTTTGGCTGTGTGAGCCCAAATGCCATAAGTGGGCATGTTTAAGGTGGATGTGATTCCTACGTATGCCTCCTGAGGAACAATTAACATCCCTAAAGATTGTTGCAGTGCGTTGACGGCAGGTGTCCCCCAAACTCTAAGTGTCCTGTGGAACCTGGGGCAACACACTCACAGCCTTTCCCACAGGGCTTCCTCCGAGCCAGATACCAGCAATGTAGACAAAGCATTTGGGAAGTTGGATCAATAGTGAAGGTGGCCAATTCATCCCAGGTTGCCCAGGACTTTCTCATTTTCAGCAAGAATAATCCTGTGCCCCAGGGCAAACTGGGACAGCTGGTCACCCTGTCAATCATAGAGTCTAGGCTGGTAACAAAATTAAAAAGCTAGAAACCTATTTCTTATAGGCTATTCCTTAATAGAAAACAATGCAAAAACCTTGGCGCGCTGCAGCCTCATGTTCTGAACCAATGGTTCTCAAAGTATGGTCCCCAAACCAGGCCAGCAGCATCAGCGTCACATGAGAACTTGTTAGAAAAACAAATTTGGGGCACCATGCACACCTCACGAGTCAGAAACTGTGGGAATCAGGCCTAGGAATCTGGGTTTGAATGAGCCTTCTGGGTGTTTCTGATGCTTGTGCAAGTCTGAGAACCACTGGTCCAGACCATAAGTAGAAGTCAGACTAGATGCCAAGGAGAACTAAAACAATGCAAGCTCACGAGAGGAAGCTTTCTTCCTTTGTCATGATCCCTCCATTTTGGATTGCTCAAACTGAACGGGGAAAATATGATGGAAGCACTTCCTGCTCTCTTGTTCCATGGGAATCCAGTATGGCTGCGGACGATCAAGGTTAAAGTATCTCCGTAAAGTAACACACTGACAAGAAAGGCACCTTTAGGGGAGTCAAGCATATCATTTCATCTGTGGCCACATGTGAATGCTAGCTATGTATATGTTCTAAAAAGCAAAGAGTAGACAAAGAGGAGCGCCGCCCAGCCTCCCAACACCAGAGTCTCACTTCCTCTCCTCAGCTGGCGCTCTGGGGCCGGACTCCAGTAATAACAGCCTCCTGGGGAGATTAAAGCCCTGGCAAGCACAGTTTATCTTGGTGAATGTATACTTTAGCTTTGTGTGTATCTACACATATACATACACTGCAGTATTTATAGCTGGTATACATGTGAGGTAGCGCTGGAGACAAGGCCTGGAATGGGTGTACAACACCTATGAGGTTGGAACCAAGATCTTTTAAACGCAAACCTGGTTTCCCTGAACTGTCCTCCACCCGTGTGGTCCAAACACACACTCAGGTGTTTCGGGAAGAACATCCTCCCTCCCTGCAAATAGGGGCAGCAGTCTTTCTTCTGTTTCCAGAAAGAGTTGAGTATTTTGTGGTGGCTTCTTTCATCTCTGGGGACTTTGCTTATTAGAAAAATACACAGAATCACCGCTCTCCCGAGTAAGGAAATGAGATGGCCGGGAGGTGAGCTGAGTCAGGACCGCTGCTTTAAGCCAAGTCTACAGGGTTGGTATTGAGGTGGAGACGCTTCTCAGAGTGCAGCACAGCCCACTCTGAGAAGGGCAGGCATGGGGGCCATCCGGCCCCAGTGCCCACGTGTGCGCGACCCTGGACAGAGGGCGGCCTCCAGTGGCAGTGCTGCTCTGTGGCACACTGAGGCCTGGTTTCCCTTTTTTTTTTTTTTTTTTGGTGGGGGCACATATTTCCTCAGGAAGGAGCAGATAAGTTCCTCCTTAGGCTTGTGAATACTTTCTTGTCACCTGGCCAAATGGAATTCCAACGATATTGTGAAGAGGCAGTGCCACTTCACAGCAGACACTCACAACAAGCCACAGTCATGGGGTGGTCAAAACTCCCAATCTCCATTTTCATGCAAAGCTGAATGGGCAGCTCAGACCTTTAAAAAGTGTCATGAACACATAGGTCCTCTTAGTCTCTGTCTACTTGACAAGATCTCTTAGTGTCCATGTGTGATAGAACAGCACATGCCTACACTGTGTGGAGTGAGGGGCTGCCAGAGCCACACGGTGTAGCCTTCTGTCCCCCATGGAGGCATGGGTGAGAGGAGAGACACAAGACAGAGAGGAAGACTGCACATCAGGCTGCGGAAATGAGCTTGAGGGTTTATGTTTTGAGGTTGCAAAGAAAAGAAGAAAAATAAGGAAGATGGGGGTGGGGAGAAAGAACAAGCTGGGTGAGGGGAGGAGGAGGGATGTACAGGAGATGGCCTGAGGCAGCCAGGAGGGGTCTCCAGGAGGGCCTAACTGTGGAGGTTGCTGAGAGGCTAGAGGGGAGAGGCTGGAGCCAGTCCAGCCTAACACATTAACGCAGGTGTAGGGGTTTAAAACAATACGTGTCGATCCTCTTACGTTCTTGGTGTGGGCAGGGCTGGCTGCCTCTAGAGGCTCCCGGAAAGAACCCGTTCCCTTGCCTTGTCCAGCTTCTAGAGGCGCCTACACCCCTTGGCTCGCAGCCCCTTCCTTGAATCACCCTGACCCCGCTTCGTCTTCACTGCTCCTTTTCTGACTCTGACCCTCCTGCCTTCCTCCTATAAGGACCTTGTGGTTACCATTAGGGCTCCCTGGAAAATCCAGGACCATCTCCAGACCCTTCACTCAATCCCATTTGCAAAGTCTCTGGATTATCATGTAAGGTGACATAGCCACGTATTCTAGAATTAGCATGGGGACTTCCTTGGGGGTGGGGACATTCTCCTGTGTGCCACAGAGATTAGGATGGCAGCACGCCGTCTGCTGTGACTCCTCCCTGGCACAGCTGAGGGGCACACACAGCCTCCATACGCAGAGGCAGCTGGCCTAAGCCCTGGGGCTCAGCATCTCACCCATGTTCTCCAGGCCCAGGTGAGGAGAACAGCAGCTCACACGTGCAGAATGTGAACATTCTGCAAAAGGGAGATATTTTTGCATTCTTTTTCTATAGAAGAACCACCCCCTCCGCACCGACACCAAAGTGTATGAGCTCCCACAAAAGTTGGATCTGTCCCTGCATACTAATTTTGTCCATCTATTCAAAGTGCAGGGAAAGGAACATTTCTTTAAGGAAAAGTCTTCATGCTTCTTCTAATTTATCTGTATATGAGAATTTTTTAAAGTATTATTAGAAAACTTCTCACCTTTATTCTCAATTACTCTGCGAAAGTTTTTATTTTTACTCTGGATTTTAAAATATGCTTGTGGGGAAGAAATCTACAATCCCTTAATTCCATTTTCATATAGTCACAAAATCATCAGAAGAAAATGGAATTTTCTGTTCAGATTAAATACAGCTCCTCAGTACCACTGAAAGCAGGAGGGAAGGGAGAGCCTGGGGCAAGTTCCATAGACTCTAAATTACTAGCTTCTGCAAATCATTAGTTTCTCCCCTGGGAGAAAAGCAGCTCTACAGTCTTCTGGTTCCGAGGCACCCTCAGCAGAGTCAGGAGCTGCACGGCCACATTTTAAATTCTAGTGGGCACAGCTAAAACAGGATGAACCGAAGTCGGCCTGAATATTGGGACACTGATTTGAGGAGAGAGATGGCAACGTGGGACAACAGCATCTGATTTTGATGTCTTTTGTCTAGTGATGTCCTATGCGGTGGCAAGAAAGAAGACTGCAGGTGCCAGCACACCTCGCGCTGTCCCTCCTCGGGCCCAGCACTGGGACCTGAGGCTGAGCAGTCCACCTCCACCAAGAACAGGAATGCCTGACACTCAAAGGCCATCCCAGCCCCAGTTCTGGAAATCCGAGACCCTAACTGTACTTTAAAAGATAACTGACAGACAGGTGGCAGGAGTCAAGAAGGGTCAGTCATAACTTATCCTATTCGTAAATCATAACAGTGAAGTGCAAAATCCCAGGAAGCCAGCTCAGGCTGATGATGCCGCCGGGGTGACAAACCAGGGACTAAAAAGTCTGGGTTCAGGAATCTTTAGGTAATTAACTGTAGAATGACTAGATACCCGCCTCCCATATTTACAGCGCATGCCTTTGCTAAACCCATTTGCCCTCCTTCATTTCTTCCTGTCTCTCTGCCTCTCCCTCCCTTCCCTTAGCGTGGAGTACATCAATCTGTCCGAAGGGATAAACTATATTTGTGTTAAGCTTTCATTTATAATTAACCAGCTGACCCCAATTCCACACATAAATGGCACTTATTATTTAAAAAATACAGGCTACATTTCTTTCATTGTTCACTGTGTCATTATGTATACATAATGTTTCCTTCCCATAGAGAATAAAATAATGACCAAAGTTCTGTCCTTCAACCCAATGTCTCCACAGTGTGTCTTTCCACCCTTGTTAAACACTGCCTGCTTACATGTTTTCAAAACACATGACCCGCATCTACTCTGACACTTTCCCATTCATCGACAGAGCAACTTCAGTCCTTAATTAGGGCAGTGTTTGAGCTTAAAGGCAAGTCTGTACAATTGAAAAGGTGCATATTCAAAAAAAAAGAAAAAGAAAAGATGCGTATTCAAATTTCTGAGGGAGTAATAGCGTGGTCTGTGATGACAAAACTAAAAATAATTTATTACATTTTATTTTCCAACGTTAATCCATTAAATCAAAGGTCACTGGGGCAGAGGTCTTATTTTCAAATAATATATATTTATTATAATAAATAAATGTATTTATAAATTCTTCCTTTCCATACCTCTATAAATGTGCCTATTTCTGTAAGTTTAAAGTAAGTTCCTTACAACTAATTATTTCTGTTTACTGATGACAGGTATGACAATTTTATATGGAATGAAACATGTTCTGATTCAAAGAGAAGTAGTTCTTCCAAAGTAGCTGAAAGCTGATTCACAACACAGGAGTTTGCCTTTTACAGGCAGACATGATGTTATAAAATGTCAGATGGCCAACATTTTTGCGATGGGGGTGTGAGAGATTCTTCTCAAATGACGCACGCCTCTCTTGGGTATTATCGAACTAGAAACTGGAATGCCCCCTTTAAGACAAGGAAAGTTTGGAAGAAAGGCGCCACAACGCCAGTCAGAGCTGGCGGTTTTCTCAGCAATGCCTGATGCAAGCTCGAGCTTTGACAGCAGTAGCTGGACTCCGACTCTTCGTAAAGGTGCAGCTTAACTCAGGCACTGCTAGAGAGCCTTGGAGAGAATTACAGACGTTTAGAGTGGCAGGAATGCCTGGTATGGCTCCTTGGTTTGAGTCAGGGCAGAGGGAAAGCAGCACACACTTCAGTCAGAGCATAGCCTGGCCTAAAACATGAGACTGTATTCTGTTCTCTCACCCAGAGTCTTGATTAAAAATATTCTTTGCCCATTTAAGAGCTTGATGTGCAGAACCCTTTCCTGATAGCATTGATTCTGGCTCGGTTTTATAATTTCACTGTATGTGGGAGGAGTAGTTAGGAGGGCAGAGAAAGCAGCACCAAAAAGATCCACACTTGCTATGACTGAAGCTCATTCCATAGGGAAGATAACAGAGAGCCTTGGAGAGAAGCCACCACGTTGTCCCTCTGTGGGTCCCCCAGCTGTGGTGGCATTAATACTACTGTTGATAAGGGTGGTGGCCACCTGTTGGGAACCCTGGGGAGATCTTAAGAGCTTCAGCAGGAAAGTTTCTGCAAGGTTTCAGGCGGATGCATTTAAGCCATCAGCACTCAGGGTCTTGGAGCTCTGGACATTGGATAGCAGATAATGTCCGCCTCACTGCCCATCTGGTGACCCTAACCTCAATCTGGGGAAATCGCTTCTCTGTGAAAGATAACTTCGGCTCTGTGACAGCTCCACCCCAACCCTCGCTAAGAGGAGGGCCAATACATCATGTTGACTTATGACTGCTGGGGTTTGTATCCCAGATCACTCTCCGTGAGGATTTCCTAAGCCACTGGACCAGAGTCCACATGTGCAGAGATGAGTTGAAGTGCTGAACAAAACACACGCCCTGAGCTACAGCTGCAGTAGCACCTTTTGGGGGAAGGAAGCCGAGATCTTTCTTAAGCATAATGAGGACAAGCACATGCAGTGGGTTCCTTGGTGTCGGCAACTCCTGTGTGAAACAGAGGAGTTCCTGCATGCTGGCTACGTGGGCACAGGGCATGGTAGGGAAAAGTGAGCTGGGGTAAATGGGGTGTGCTCACTTTGTTCTCTCTCTCTGCCTCCTCTGTCCCTGCCTCCACCCCTCTGGCTCTTGCTCTTCCTCAGGGAGAGCAGATGTTTTAACTGATAGTTTGTAAATATTCTTAAGGCAGACAGTTGCTACCTGACTTCACCTTTCTTATCTCCAGTTCCACCCGAAAGTGGTAACACAGCATATCCAAACATGCCTTGTCATACCAAAGAGAAGTCTGTAGCTCAGCTAGTTAGAGACTTGCATTCAAAAGAAAAAAAAAAAACTTAAAGTTGCTTTTTTATACGGCTTTTTCTGTGCTGGGTGGAAGTCCATTCAAAGCTACTTTGTATAAATAAAGAAATACAATCCTCTTCCCTACTCCCCAATAAAGCTGTGGGGCAGCACGCTGGCCACTGTGCCTGGATGCGCCTGCTGGCATCTGCCGAGGTGTCCTGCCCCACAGCTGCCAGGTGTACTGTGGGGACATCATTCACCTCCTGGGCATCACACTGGTGTGAAAGCAGCCCAGGGCTGAGCTGCACTTGAGGACCCCATGGCACAGGCTTGGTTCGCACTCAGCTCACCAGTGGCCGCAGGGCCAAGGCTGTTTTATTTTTGGCACACTGTGAAGTTGTATTTCTCCCACAACTTGATGTTCAGATCTATGTTTAAGACTTAGAGTAATCATATTTCTCTTTTCCTTTTCTTTCACCTTCGGCATTAGCTTCTTGTAAAAATGAATTTAAGAACATTGTCCTTGCAAACCAGATTATGTGTTTCTGAAAGTCTGTGCACCCTGACTTTCTAAGGCTCATTCATCACCCTATTCATCATCACCTATCATTTGTCTGCCACAGTGACAGGCACGAGGAAGATATGACAGCAAGACAAGACCTCGTTCTTGACTCCAACAAGTTAACGTTTTTGCTAAGGGGACAAGATCAACGCTGATGATACAGTGAGTCAACAACACAAGGTTGTCTCCAGGCTGACTTGGGGCTGCTGGCTGTAAATGTAACAGAGCAATCAGAAGGAGAAAGAGGACCGCAGGGGTGGGGGCAGCCTGAATAAAGGCACTGAGATTCAAGGCGGGGTGGGTGTGGGGGTAAGGCAGCCCTGCCTGAGGAATGCACAGGAAACCAGGTTCTGGGCACTCTGAGGCTGGCAGAGTGGTGTGGGCTCCATGGGGGTGGGCAACAGAGAGCCACTGAGGGTAACTGAGCAAGAGCGTGTCTGTGAGGAAGGAAGGTCAGTACGGGAGTACCATTCAAGATGGTCTGTTGGAGCAAAAGGAGGAAATCAGCAAGACCAACTAGAAAGAAACTTCAAAAAATTAAAGGAACACCCCAGAAAGGAAGAGGGCCAGGACAGGTGGATGCGGAGCGTGAAAATATCTGTGTTGTGATGTCACTGAAAAGAGTAAATTACCAAATGCACCGGGAGTTTTGAGCACAGTGTCCAGTGTGTAATACGTACGCGGTAAGTGCTCACTCCTGAACTTCCGTTGTTGTGGGTATTTTCATGTGTGAGAAGAGAAATACGTAAATTGGAAGTAATAAACACAGTCCCTGCCTGCGTGGAGCTTGCTTTGTGGATTAATATTAAGGCCACCTGGCTATGACAGCATTTGTTCTATTGTTTTGGCGGCGGTGGAGAGGGGGGCGGGGGTGAGGGGTGTGAGGGTTCAAGTACATACTTGTTCTTCCTAAAAAGTACCTTTGAAACTGAGTCATTGAATGGTTGTGTTATTAAAGCATTTAATAGTACTACTCATGTTGAAAATGCTGAAGAAAGCCAAGGTGGAAATTTCCCACCTCAGTAACTTTTGATGGTAGGATACTAGTTCTATAGATAATTATTAAATACCACTAAACGACAAAGCGATGACTACTGAACATTTTGACCAGTAAGTGTTGATAGCTGACCACATGTCAGGCCAGGCACTGGGGATACAAATGGAACAAAACACCTTCCCTATGCTTAAAGAGCCAAAAAGACAGTGGTAGAAATAGACACAAATAATCAGAGTACAGGTGCACAGAGCCTTTCCAAAGCCTCCGGAGAGCTTGGAGTTGAGATGTTTTGGCTCGTAGAGACACAAGGTGATGGGCACAAAACACACAGGTGGACATTTGCCCTGTGCTGCCAGGACAGGCTGAGTTAGGCTTGTCCTGGTGCTGCCTCTGTCCCCTGCCCCTTGTACTCTCGATAGGCAGGTGGTAAGTTTGTAGTTACCCTAATCCCATCTTTCTGAGCAGCCCCAGCACCATCTGGCCAGCACACCATAATCAAACGTGAATATTCCTTCAGCAAAATGTATGAACAGTTACAGTAAGTGATAAGAAGACAGACTACATAATTAGTCTTGTGTCAGGTTGGGCCAGATTTTGTAGGAGAATGGGTTTTAAGGGAAGTTTTGATTTTCCCTGAGCTCTTTGGATTTTGGAATCACGGATAATGGACTGCGCATGGTGTGGGGCTGTAAGTGTGGGTGTCCATGGCAACAGAAGAGAGAACGTCTAGCTCACTCCTGGGAAGCTGGAGGACTTTCCAGAGGAAGTTCCAGTAAACCTGAGACCTGAGGGAGGAGGAGAGGTAGCTTCAGGAGAGTTTGGGAACTGGGGAGGGCAGGAATGACCATCAAGTTGCAGTCCTGGCAGGCGGCTGGGCACCCAGCAATCTGGGGCTAGACCCACACAGCAATGAGAAGGGTGGCGGCGCAGCAGGAAGGCCCTTGCAAGAACAGGTGCATCTGGGGGGCATTAAGCCCTGAAGAAGTTTTAGGGTGAGTTGAATTCGTCATTGTGGAATAGCAATTAACCGGTTGTTGATAAGGTGCCTGGAAGTTGGAACTAATATGGGAGGAAATAGAATGATTGGTACTATAGCGGGCAGGCCTCAAATTGTTGGGGCAATGAATGAAGTGAACAGATTTTCATTCATTTCGATTCTCAAGGGTTGTTATGGTTTTGTATATTAATCAGATGTATATATTGTGTATGATCAGATGTGTGCGGTGTGCTGGCACCATCGCGGCACAGCTGATGATTCTGAGGGGAGGTGGTGGGCAGGTGCTGAGGCAGGAATACAAGAAGTAAGCCACAAAGGCAGGCACTCCAGAGGCAGCAGCACAGGCTTAGTGACTGATCAGAGGTGGGGGCAGCAAGGCAAACAGGGGAGTCAAGGGAAGTGTCCATGCTGTTCTGCCCATGTGTTCTAACCTGAGGCCTGTGAAAAATACTTGTCTCTTTCCTCATGCGTTTCTTTATTCTAACTGATGAGAACGATGCTGAAGTCTGACTAACATACTTCACCACTGTTTTCTTTTTGTTGTAAAGTCACACATGTTCGCTAATGAACATTTGGAAAACACAAACCAGCGGAGGAGAACCCCTCGCAGGCCCATCATGAACACAACACTGCTGTTAACAGTTTTGCTGGAACGAGGCTGGGAGCACGAGGCGTCCGCAGCACGTGGCTGATTCCCAGCGTTTGCTCACCTGTGTGTAGGTTTCCTTATATGGTTGTGATCATACTGTTTGCGCATTTTTATGCTTCTTTTTTCACCCATCATTTTATCCCAGACACTTCCCTGAGCTACTACTCCATAGTCTGAATGGACACGGACTTTAATGGATTTGCTGCATGGTGGCATTTGGAAGGACTGTGCTCAGTTATCCCCTATGGTTGGACACTATGCTGTCGAACAGATCTCTAAACCTGAAGGAAATTGCTTTAAAGGCCTACTCTCATGGCAGTATTTTCGGGAAGGCAAGGAAGCATTTGGCATCTCATACTGGTTCCTAACTTATAGCCTTCCGAAGTCTCTTGCTGTCAACTGAATCAGGCACGGAAACATTTATAACTGGTAGTTTGTGGATAACAGAGTAGTATTTTAGCAGTTAAGTGAATCTCAAGTTTCAGTGCCTCTCAAATGTTGCTTACCCAAAATTTCAATATTAGTGTTGGTTGTGAATAGAAGGAATTAAAATTACATCTCCATTGTGCTCACCAGAACCACGTCTCTGCTAACCATACTTTTTAATGTGACTTTAAGGAAGCAAAACCAAGTCATAAGGTTTTGAGGTCAAAATGTGAGCTGAAAATATTCTGATTTTTAAAAATATCTATCTGTTGATCCATCTATCTATGTATTGCTCAGAAATACTTCTTGGTCTCACAGAAGAGGGGAGGAAAGGCTTCAGTGACAGACTGAACAGCCACACAGTTGAGAGAAGTAATCATAGGACACTCTCTCAAAGGCCCTGCTCCAGAGCCCTCTCCTCCATGGCGTTGTCCAGGGTGAGCAACCAGATGGAGGTGGGCTCCCCACCTTCCTCCTCCCAGGCAGCCTGGCATGGCCCACCACACACAGGCCTGGGAGGAGCTCCCCACCTTCCTCCTCCCAGGCAGCCTGGCATGGCCCACCACACACAGGCCTGGGAGGAGCTCCCCACCTTCCTCCTCCCAGGCAGCCTGGCATGGCCCACCACACACAGGCCTGGGAGGAGCTCTGCCACTCACCCACTCTTCTGAAAGACACATGTGAGTAGCACCCAGATTTGGACGTTGGAAAGTGCGCTTGCACTGAAAGCAATTTTACATATGGTAACTAGACGCAGTTAAAATATTTTCATTAGTATTTCAGGCATGTTATTGGGAAAATAGGCTTGTGTTGGCAGGGCTGGGGCCCTCGTATCATTTAAAACACGCTTTCTGGGAGAAAAAGGTTTTCAAGTACCAAATCTGTTGTTGCACCAAAGACTTCACAAACTAGGCTACATCCTTACTATTCACATGCGTTATTAAACATTTTCTGGAGTAAGGTAAGGTATAAATAAATGAAATACAAATAAACAAAAAACAAATACAGCACTCATCCGATTTTAATGGCATAGAAAGGAAATATCCAGAAGTATCAAGTGGGAAAGGTGCTTGTCCACACCCTCCTGGGGCTCTGAGGGCCATAAAGAATCAGCCATTTGCTCACCATCCACAGAAAAGCGTGAAACAAAATGCGGCATCTGGGTATATCTCAAAGGTAGGGAAGGAAACAACTCGAAGGCTGTAACTTTCCCGACACTTGAGACGTCACTCCTTTGCAAGGCAGCATTCCCAGCAGGCAGCGAAGCGTGTTTGGAGAAGCTGGAGGGCAGATGAGGAGTGGAGGGAAGGCGGGTAGGGGGCTTGCACTCGAAACCACCTCTGAAGGCGTTGTCAATACAGCAACAGCAACGAGGACAAACATGCCACACGGTGGGTCCAAGTCTGAACTGCCCGGGGCTAAGTCAGTCACCGCACAATCGAGTATGGTGTAGCTCCAAAGAATGGATCGGGCGAGAGCCCCACTGCATCAGATAACTGGTGCATCAAATGGTTTAGATCTTGGGAAAAGCAGGTTTGGGTTTTCCTCAAACCATGCCTATTATAAACTGCTGGTAGAATATTCCTTTTGAATTAAAATCTCATAGTCTATTCTAAGAACTCCAAGGGCACATGAAAGAAAGGCCAGTGAGCGCCGGGGGCCTCTGGGCCTGGCTGGCGTTCCTCTGAGTACTGCCATCTGAAACAGCAAAAGGCCAACCGGGGTCACGTCTCTGTACGCTGCATCTCACAGCTTTGGGTTTTAAATGTAAAAAAGAAGCACCTTTACATGGTAAGTAAGTGTGTCCAGTCATACACTAAAAGGACAAAAAGCCATTGTCAGGTGCTGTGGTGACATGTTCAGTTGGGCCCTGACCCTTCCTACTTCCAGAAAATCCCTCAAAGCCTTCATACCTGGTGCCTGTGTCACTGGAAAAGAGGGTGCAGCTGTCTGATGTCCCCTGATTGCCGAGAACCGTGTACACTGACTCAGCTCCACAGGTAGGCATGACAGGTTATGTCCCCTGAATGCACAGCAGGTGTCTGACTGCTGGTTTATAGATTCAGACCATTAAGTAGGTGCAGATACACCCACTGCAGCACTGAGAAAAGGCAGGAGACAGTGTCTACAGAACCAGAGTGCCAGCCACCCTTGTAGTGCTGCTGCTGAGGGGCCTGGCTAGAAAGTGCTTAGAGCAGCTGTCCTTAGAGGCTAATGTGCAGAAGGGCAAAGTTTTTGGGTGACCCAGTGCACGTGATCTGGGAGGAAAGTTGCAGAGGCTTCGTGGGGGAGCACGGCCTGGAAACTGGCTGTGCCACTAGCACACAGCGTGACCTTGGGCAAGTCACTCGGCTTCCTGGTGGCCCAATTTCCTCATCTGACATGACAACAGTGAAGATCATGTTCCCTGAGCAGCTGGAGGAAGTGACAATGAGGCTCTGTGCTGGAGAAGCCACGGTGGCAAAGGCCAACATCTCAGAGGTGACGTGTTGCCTGGCCCCCAGGACCAGGAGAAGCCCTTAATGCTTGGAGCTGATTGTCACAGATGGAAGGAGAAGTGGACAAGTAACGTGGGTGGGCCTTGGCTCCTCTGTTCCCCAAGGCACAAACCCACTCCTCTGGCTGCCCTTACATGGCTATTTAGACTGCTGCTTACATGAGAGTACGTGCAAAAAGAAGAACTTATTGAGAATTAATGCTGTAACTAGGATTTAGAGATGGGACTGAGAGTTATGTTTCAAAACCAGAGCTTGAAGTTTGGGGAGAAAACAAATGTCTCTTCTCTCAACAAATACAGTCCTTTGGTTGGGCTAAACCTGCCTAACTCGACTGAGGCAGGGTATCTATGGAGGAAGAGTTTTTGCTTCATGCAGCAGCTTTTGGCTTAACTGCAGAATTATTTCTGGAAATAGTTAATAAAAATCACACATATATATAAACCGATAACATAAAACCCCAAACCATACAAGTACACTTAAAATAAATGACTTTGGGTATTTAAAAATTGTTTTTATACTGCTGAAGTCCCTGAAGTCAGAGCCCGTGCTACAGCTGTACGCTTCCCAAGAATCACTGCTTGTCAACACTGCTCCTGCAGAGGAAGACTGTTTACCTCCACTCTGCCTGTCAAGTTGACTTTGTCTCTAAATGCTCTGCTTTTTATTACTACCCTCCACCAGACCGGGGAAAACATTTGTGTATGTGTATATTCCTGAGAAGCTTAACCACATTACTGCTGAGAACACAGCAGATCTACTCATCAACTTGGTAAAGAAACCAATCACACTGATTGATCAGATGCCTAAAACAGCTAGTTGATTTTCTTTTCCACGTCTGCGGCATTCATTCAGTCCCTAAACCCTGAGCAGCCACCTGCTCTGGACCTGCCGTGGTATAACCAGGCTGTGGTCAGACCTGATGGAGCTTCCGCCTATCAGAGAACTGTGTAGGGACAATGCCCTCTGGGGCTTCACCAAAAACAACCAAAACACACGTCTGCCCTGACATGGCAGATACACTTTTGAGGTTCCCCTTGGGAATGGTCCCCCTAGACCTGGAGCTCTCCGAGGATGGGGTCAGGGAAGCTGAGACTACCTAGGCACAAAAATCTTGACGTCTACATTTCTATCATCAATTTAACTTCAATCGGTAAATGATCTGGTGATACTGCCAAGCTCAATGTCCAGGTCCTAAGCACACCCTCCCTTGCAGGGCGGGGGTGTGAATGGCTCTTATGTTCCATTGGGGAGGGCGGATGTCAAGCTCTTCCAAAGCACCCCTGTGAGTTTGTGGAGGGCTTAACGACAGACTTGTGAAGGGGTTGACTACATATCGTCAGAAATTATACCAATGACAGTTTTAATCACTGGACATGAACATTTACAAAATACGTACACCTATGAAAGGATGTGCCAAGCCAAGCAAAAACTTGGGGCTGGAGAAGAAAGGAGCCGGACCTGGCAGTTCAGCTTTGTTTTCTCCGCATGGACAGCTGGACAGGCACAATTCCCTACAACTACATACATGATGTATTCTGAGCATTTTCCCCTGGGGGGAATCAGCTTTTATCTAATTCTTCAAGAGGTGAATGAAACCAACAAGGTTAGGGACAACCCAACTGTGTGCATCATTCCCTGACTGCAGCCCAGGGCACAGCTGCCCCCACTTACCGAGGCTTGGCCAGCCTCAGAGCCGGCTGCCTCAGGATCCCTGCAGAGTCCTACGTTTCCAGGGTCCACCGCTCAAGTGGTTTGAGGATGAATCCTGGAAGACTGTATTTTCAACAGCTTTCTGGATGAGTCTGACGTACTAGGCTTAAGAACCATGGACTAGGGTAGCCACCCTTGACAAAGGATGCCTGCGGTTTTGCTTAAAGTAGTAGTATTGCCTGAGAAGAAATGGGTTGCCTCTTTAAGAACACTTGGGTAACCCACCCATCCACAACAGCTCTGATGATTACAGGCAAAATGAAACACATGGGTGGGAAATAAATGTACAAACTCATTTTGCCAGTTTGCACCAAATCTGTGTATTTGTGGCCTGTGATTTTGGAGATACTACTCTGCAATTTTTGCACACGTTATGTCTAGGTATGGTTTTCCATCCACCTTGCTTATCTCTGTGCTATCAGCCTGTCTTTGCCTCTGACACCCCGGCTGCCTGCATACCCCTTCCGTGCCCCTTAAGTGACTTGGGAAACTTGTGGAAAGCCATCTTTTCCGTCCGATTTTGTGCAGCATGGATGAAAGTCCCTGTTGATTCTAAGGAATGAGCTGGGTGGAGGGACAGTTTTTCTGGCATAGTGAAGGCCCCACCCGAGCACCAGCCAAACGGTGGCTGCTGAGAGCAGCACTGCACAGTCACCAGCCGAACATGCCCCCCAAAGCCCCATCCGGCCCCTCGCCTGAGCCTTCATTAACACCCAACACTTCTCCTCTGTTTACAAGTTTATGACTGCAGCCTACTCTCTAACCCTCTTCAATGCTTAGAAACGGACTCTAAGATCACGAGAAAACTGCAAGAGATTGGAGGTTTGGGGCTTCAGATATAGAAGGTATAGAAGATGCTGGAAAATTCAGTCAGATACAGAAGATGCTGGAAAATTAAGTCAGATTAATCCAGACTCTTGGTTTGAGGAATTCTTTTCTTTGATAGTAATCACACTATTCTGCAATACTCCGGTATCTTTGATCATAAGATCTCAACATGCTTCACAAACACTAATTTAACCTCCCACTACTTTTGTGAAGTTTATCATAATCATCCTTCACTTAGGAGATAGGGAAGCTGAGATGACGTGTAAAGTAGAAGATGTAAGTAGCTAAATGAACTTTGAAGTGCTGTGTTCTTATCTTAGCTCCTAATTATTTTGACTGAAGTGTTTTTTCTTATTTCCTTCAGATGAATAAACTGATATCGATGGTTTACATAAACAACAGAAACTGCAAAACACACATTCCTAACTTGCTCCCTATAACTAAGCCTGGGGTGCAAAATGTCACTCACATGGAGAGAAGACGCAGCAGACATAATGGCTTATCATCAACTCAGGGTTTGAAACAAATACCCACTTTACTTTGATGTCTCTGATGCTGACCACAAAGTATGAGGGTATCGGAAAGCTCAGAAGTTCAGACAGAAGTTCAATTGTCTGAAAAAGTTATAAAGATGGAGAAAGGGAAAAAGCAAAAGGGTTGAATTCTTTAAAAAAAAAACCAAGATCATGAAACAGGCAGAAAGGAAGAGGAGAATATTTCTAGCAAGCAATAGGTTATTAAGTTTGGATTTCAATAGAGGTTGTTAGCAGAACAATATAAATATTACTTAGTTGGAGGGCTGAGGAGAAAGTGGTGTGAATCAGAAAGCCTGACCAATGTCCGTGGATGACCAGGGACACGGGGCAGACACAAGGCCGTTTCTGCTGCAGATAGTGAGAAGGCCATGCCATCATATCTGCGTTTCTCCCAAAGCAACAAATCCATCAACACAAGACTATGTAGAATCCAGCCACGGATGTCAGACTGACAAGTCAGAAATGTGGTAGATCCATAGTGGCCACTCTCAAGGACAAGCAACTGACTCTGTTTTATGTTTTGCCAAATAAACCCACAGGCCAGCGGGTGGGCGCTAGCCTTTTCATAAGTATGCCAAGTCAAACCACCATTAAAACCATTCCCTTGGCCACTGCGGTCCCTGTGGGATGAAGTGTCCTCGCCTCCACTGGACTCCAGTGTGTGTTATCTTTTCACCTCCTTCCTGGGAAGAGTTGGTGGTTGCTCAGCACCACATGTGACGACTAGGCACAGGCCCTGGCTGCTCCTGGCACCCACCACCGGCCCACGCCGGGATCCAGTGCTGGCACTGTTTGCTCTGCGTCTCCGCCCCGTGGCTCCCTCCCACTGCCCACCCCCGCCAGCTGAAAGAAGAGACAATGTATTGGCACTGACGGCCATCCCCATCCTACCTTTAGGAGGAGGTGGTGATGCATGAAGATAATATTTCGTCTTGCCAATAGACAAACAGGCTTTTTGGATCAATGGGACACACACACACACACACATACACGTACGTGTGTTTGTGCTGCATTTTACAGTTGTGCCAAACTGCATGAAATTGGCTTTTCTCTCATCTCAATTTGGCGGCATGAAGCACAAACATCTCAAAGGAAAATCAGCAACTGTTTTTATCCATAGTCTCTTCTCTTTTTCTTATTCATCTGATCCACGGGCCTATCTGAGTTCTTATTTTTTCACATCCTCACTGTAAGTTAACAGTTTTGGTAAGACAGGCATACTCAATCAGGCCATTTCTCTTCATGTGGGAATTAGATACTTGTTTTAGAAAACATATCCAAAGACTATTCTAGTGCATTTGACTGAATTTTCCACCAAAATGGATGTGCAAAGAAGAAGACACTGTACACCTTATTAGGAAAATCTCTATAAGCCCAACACTTTTTCAGACTTTTTTTGAGAGGGAGTCTCACTCTGTCGCCCAGGCTGGAGTGCAGTGGCATGATCTTGGCTCACTGCAAGCTCCGCCTCCTGGATTCACGCCATTCTCCCGCCTCAGCCTCCCAAGTAGCTGGGACTACAGGCGCCCACCACCACGCCCAGCTAATTTTTTTGTATTTTTAGTACAGACGGGATTTCACTTTGTTAGTCAGGATGGTCTCGATCTCCTGACCTCGTGATCCACCTGCCTTGGCCTCCTAAAGTGCTGGGATTACAGGCGTGAGCCACTGTGCCCGGCCTCACTTTTTCAGAAATTTAAAAAATGTTGTTCTAAATGACTATCATCTTACACAATCATATATTTAAGTTCTTTGCACTTACATTAAAAAAAAAAAAGAAAAACATTGAAGATTCTAGGTGAAGAGAAAAAGGAATATCATGCCACCAGGTTTCCGGAAGACCTTGGTTCCACGATACCAATACCAGCCATGATGGCCATTCACTGAGTAGAACTTATTTCTCACTTTGTAATTCAGAAAGTTTCAGAGTAGCAGAGAAACGCGTGTCATGGGGAAAGCCAGAGAACTGAGTGTCTTTTATGCTAGGTGACACTTTGTTCCACAAATATAGCCTCAGAGTGGGTAAAGGAAAGATGGTGGCTGACAATGGGGCATTTCTTATGGAGGCTCAGAGCCGGCAATGCCTCCAGTTGGCAGTCGTACTCTCTTCAGACAGAAGCAACCTTGGATGCCTTTTGCATATGCATTATTGTTGATGCTGTCTGCCAAGACTTCAAGATACTATGAGATTTTCCCACAATGTGCATATGCTGTGGATGCCGGAGGCATCATGCCCTAGTGGTCTAAGGGTGGAGCCGGGCTGCAGTGGCTGTAATATGGCATCACCAGGTCTTCCTGTGGAGAGGAGCCAGGGAGCACATCTGGAGTGCTGAGCTTGTGTGAGACAGTTGGGATAGATCAACAAGAAAGGTGCAGAGGGAAGTGGAGAAACGAACAGAACCTATGAAAATAAGAGTTTCAGAACAGATGAAGAAAAAAGGAGAGAACATCAGCAGAAACATAAGGAGACAGGAAAGTGGCAGAAATGAAAGAATTAGTGAAAAGACATGTATAGAGGTAAAGCAATAGAAACGAAATATGACCTTTTCAAAGGTTGGATATACAAGTGTAAGTTGTGAGTGAACTTAACACTCATCTTGCCATGGAATCTCAAATAGAAAGAGGAACATTATTATTTTTATTCCCTTTGCTATTTAGTATAGTTTAGACTATTGCTCTCTAATAGTTTAATACACTGGTTTGAATAATTTTGGTTCTATCAGAGCTGGCTGTAAAGCATAAGAATGATTCTTTGGCAATGTGCACATTCATTCATTCTTTATCCCCTGACAATGTGCCAGGTCGTCTTCAAGGCCCTCCGATGTCATTCTTCCCCCAGGACCCCAGGTGGAAATGACCCATCACAATGCAATGGGATAAGCGGTAAGTGCTGACTGCCTGGGGGAACAGGTGCAGGCTGCACCAAGGAGCTGACACTTGTGCAGGGTCTTGTAACTAATATTGCATCAGTTTTTTCAACATGCCTATTGAGATCAGTGGGAAAATACTCATCGTTATGTTGTAGCAGGAAAAACAGAAGTAAGGAGAGGTTAGGAGCTTCTAGAAGACTTCAAAAGTTTGAGAGCTGGGAATAAAAGGTGTTGAGATACATACTTTAAAACTTATAATGCAAGCTAGTAGGACATATTCAAACTACCACTATACTTTTTAAATTTTAGAATTTCAATAAGGGACTATAGTACTTTCTAATCCTCCACAACAAAAACTGATTCAGAAACAAATACGTCTTATTAACTTCAATACCTTAGTAACTTGCCTTAGAAAAAATGACAAATTCCCCAAAATTCAAACAGCAGGTTTTAGATGACGATGTTAGGCACATTTTTCTCCACTGACCTCTTTTCAAAAAATAATAGAAACAGCCTGAATTTAAAATATACAGTGTCTTTCTAATACCACTGTGAAAAACATTCACACAGAATTAATTTCATTCTCAACAAAATCCCTGGAAAATAGGGAAACATTTCATTATGAAGTCGAAGAATATGTAAAAAAAGATTAAAAACATCTTTAGATTGGTTTTCTCTGAGTTACTGTTAAGGATCCACGTTTATGCTATAAACAAATCTCTCTCATGAAAGTAAGGCCTTCCCTATTCCTGGCTCTGCCTTTTAATCACTGAAACAGCTGGGAACTGTTTAAGAATTTGTCTCAAACACAAAACTTGTTTAACTAACTTAATGGAACAGGTGAGGAGACACTCTTCCAGAATTTGAACCCATCAGGGGTCAGATGGCAGGTATCAAAAGACAGATTAATGGTATCAGAATAGTGGCCATGTGGAGTTTAATGATGACATATGACTGGTTTTAAGACTCGTGACAGCAAGAAAGAAAAAGGCAAGAAAATAGGAGGTACAAATAAGAGGAGTGGCTAAGCTGCTGCACAGACAGGCTTGGAGGTGAGGCGGTGAAGAGGGGTGGCCTGCTGGCTGCGTGAGAGAAGGCCTGGCCAGGGCAGGGTGTGGTGATATTGGCTCTACCAGCCTTGCTTCTCAGGGTTCCCAGACTGGGCCACCCACCCACTCCACCTGACAGAGTCCCTGCCTATGTCTCTGTTCATGCGGCTGGTTCATTCCCACAGCACCTCCTGCCCCAATTGTGAATTCTTTCCCAGTTCTTACACCCCGTCCCCCAACTCTCTCTTTTAATTACAAATCTTTCCAAAGCCCTGCTCTAAAACTCCCCTTTATTAGGAAGCCTGTCCTTGTCCCTCAGGCTCAAGTACGACCTGTCCTCATTTCCAGTTGCCCAAATGTATCAGCGGTGTTTTCTGAGTGTGTACATTATGCAATTTTAAATAGATGATGCACCAGCGTCTTCCATTTTGGTTTAGTCCGCAAAGTGATTAACAACATGCTATCCATTCCATGGAAAACACTAGCCCAGCACCGGTTCCAAGTGATTAACTCAGTATTCCCTGCCAAGAGAAAATCTCACTGTCCAAGAACTCTGGAGCCTCAACAAGGAAGGTGGCTTTGCCAGCACCTTGATTTAGCTCAGTGGGACTCCATTTGGTCTTCTGACCTCCAGAACTGTAAGACAATGAATCTGGGTAGTTTTAAGCCACTAAGTTTGTGATTACTTGTTACATCAGCAATAGTAAACCAACATAGATTTTAGACTATCAAAGTGACACTCAGCTGGCTCTAGGGAGCAAGTACAAAGATGGGTTTTTGCAGACAGGTTTCCAAGGGAGGAGCATGGGGGGTGGTTGGCAGATAAAAGCAGATGATAGCCTGATGTCTTCCTTGGTGGCTGCTCTCTAGCCTACTGGGGATACTGCAGTTCTAGGAGGAGCTGTAGAGCTTGCTGGATCTCAGCGCCTGTCACACTCCCTTGAAACATACCGTTTAGGCAGAATCAGAAGTCGATCACCAATTCAGCATATCCCTACCTTCCACCACGATCATCCTTTCTACCCCTGGGTCAAGAAGCACACAGCTGGCAGTACTAAGGAACAAGTAACTTTTTCTGCATGAAGATCTATAGGTATAAAACAAAATAAATATTTAAATAAAAAATGTCAGGAGTTGAAGAGCCCAAAGCATCCTTTCAGAAGATGTCTTTTGATAACTAATAATTTCACAAGAGTATATGATAATGATAATTAATAATGATGACTAATAAAATGACAATATGCAGCACAAAGTACCTTACACTTATAAAAGCCCTTTCATCTTTAAGAATTTGAAAATGCTTTGCAACCTGACTTCCAGGACATAGTGATTTGAAATTGGGTCTCTGCTTGCCCCCTGAAACTCAGTTTTTCTTGGATTGAGATGAAGTAATCATCTGCCAATTAATGTAACTCTTTGATATTAGCTCTTTACACATTAATCTGGCCCTATGGCTCTCAGATACAAGTGCTTAGTTTGTGTATGCTGTGAATTATTAACCTACTTTTTCAAAATATGTTTCTGAGACTTACCTCCTGGAATTCGAATTTGCCTGGCTCTGCGACCAGCTCCCTGTGCACACTCTTTTTCCCCCCTAGAAATGCTCCTTCAGGGAGTTTATGTATGTCAGGATTTCAGCTCTTGCACATCTTGCACATCTAGGCCCTAGCCCTGACCTCTTTTCTCTACACTAGGCCTCCAGCTCCAACTGCCTCCCTCATTTTGCAGCACAGATATCCCGAAGGCACCGGGAGTGTGACGGAACACCTCAACACCTCCCCCTGCAAAGTAAGTCTTCTCGCTGGATCTCTGATCTGGGTTCCAGCATCGTCACCTCCCCACTACCCTACATGGTTCAGCCTCTGTCCTGGGAGTCAACCTCAGCTCTGTCTTCTCTTCCACATGTCCTTAGTCCACTCTGATTCCATGGTCTCCATCTCTGCCATGTTCTGGCACCTGTCACTGTTTCTCTCGCCTGGGCTGCCCTGGTTCCGTGAGTCCCTCATTACACCCACCCCACCCCGGGCTGTCCCGGCAGCTTCGCAGCTGCTTCCCTTTCATCTGAGAGTTTCTATTGGACAAGGACCTTATCTCATCTATCTTTAAATTTCTTGGTGTTAGACTGGGACTTACCTCTACGGTAATGGAATGTTCAATAAACATTCTTTTCAAAATTGAATGTTAAAAACTCAACCATGTATTTTCATATATATACATATATATATATTTCATATATATATATTTTCTCATATATACTGATATATATCTGAGAAGCTGAAGGTAAATCAGAATTATATTTTAAATGTGCATGGTCAATGTACTATCTAAAATATTCCTGTAATAAATCCTAAAACCTGCAGAATCTTTTAGTACCTACACACAGTCACTTATTTTTTAGTTTGGATATTGTTACACCAGGTTTTCATGGGGGCAAGGCATACCTGATTTACTCAGGAAACTAGCAAATTGATGACAGCATTACAAAATGTACAAGGTAGATTTTGCTATTAAGGACAGTTCCTATTGCTGAGTAACAGCGGAATGAAACCAGGTATTTACTGATGGGCCAAACCTGGTAAGCATTTGTCTAGGAGGCAGATCAGAGCTACTAAGTTGGGACGGAAGCCCGTCAGTGGTGGACCTATCACCTTGGCAGTTAATGACAAAAGGAGCCAGACGAGTTTTTGCCTTTGCTACTAGATGTAACAGTGGATAGAGAAGCCGGCCTGGCATGAGCCACAGGTGTGGGCAGTGAGGTGGTGGGAGAAGGCATGCAGGGTGAGAAAGGTGGCGCAGAGCCCACGGTAGATGGGCATGACTACATTTCAGCCCCAGAATATTCTAGTGTCTGCAGAGCAACTGTTTTCAAGTAAAGAAGGTGCTGGGAAAACAATCAAATTTGATAAAAAATAATTAACTTTATCGAGAGCATGAGGCAGAACGGGGTGAGAGAAACCACAGGCAGTATTATCTGTGAAATCTCCATGAACACAGATTTTTGGATTGCTGTTATTTTGGAAGATAAATAAGGCTTGGTGGAACAGGAAGAGCACTGCTGATTTGTTTAAAAAAAAAAAAGAGAGAGGGATTTTTTAGATTTCCGAATACAGAGGTCATCGGCCAAAGATGAAAATAAAGATGGAACAGGTAATCACACCAGGGACGAATGGATCTCTCATAAGTAATTCTATTCTTTAGGTGATGTACTTCAGAGCTACTTTAGGTAGAAGTTGAGCTCAACAACTAATTGTTCCTCCTATGGAAAGTTGATGCAGATGCTAAAACAGACTTTTAAGACGATAAAAAGATTTTGAAACTTATTTTGTAGACGTCAATAAGTCTGCATTATGATTATAAATGAGGATAGTCAGCCATCACCTGGATAGCTTTATGGAAAAAAGGTACAGATGTTGCAGGAATTCCTCACGGGTGCAAGTAATGGACATATCTGCACTAGGAATACCAGAAGGACTTAAGGATAAATCAAAAAATATTCTTAAATAAGGGAAGATACATAGCTATGTATAGCCATAAAGATTTTTGAGTCTTTAATGACATCATTTTAATCTAGATCTGATAATAAGAAAAGAAACTTCAAGGAAAAAAGGAGGAAGTTGGGGTTATTACAATCAGTACACAATTACTATTTCATTAGATATGAAATGCTCTTGAGGGGGGAGAGCAACCGAGGAAAGAACCCAGGCTTCAGGAGGAATGTTATATGGCCCTTGGGGATTTGTATGCGATCCTATGAAGTATGGAAAACAAACAGTGGAATATTTAAGAATCAACTGAAGAGACTGAAACTTAAAGCTCCCTTGGTTAAGTCCAAGGAAGGAAAAGGGCAGGAAAGGCCAATGTGATTAAGGAAGGATATAAAGATTAGTATGAGGAGCCTAAGAGGGAGGCTTAAAATATATAAACAGTGATTTAGAGATATAAACTATTTATAAAATACAAGCAGTAAGAAGTTCAGAGAATAATTACAAAAGAGGAAGCATTCTGATCAGCATTCCACACTACTGTGGTCCAAAAGTTATGGGAGCACAGGATGCCAGGATATTAAAATGGGAAGGGACCTTACAGAACGAGTAGTCTCGCCTCTCTTTCTATAGGCCCAAGAGTGCAGGAAGAAAGGCACTCATCCTTAATCTGCTCTCTCCACATCCTCTGACCCTGGCTCCCGCTGGTCAGAGAAAGGAACAAAGAAGAGCAGGGGTGGAGGGGAGGATTAGAGCCTTAGAGGTCAGAAGGAGCAGGAGCGGGAGGGATGGACTGGCTTCTAACAGAGCTGGTACAGATGAAGGGATAGAGTGGGGGGATCTAATTTCCTGCTTTGGGAGGGGAAGTGTGAGAAGGTGGTGAGAACAGCTATGGGAGAAAAGGGGGACAGTTTCAGGACAAAAGGCCAGGCTGGTGAGTGTGTTGAGGGCTTTTCACCCCCAAACGCAGAGACAGAGCTGAGGGAAGCTCTGACTGGCATTTATATAAGTCCTCTGATGACAGATCAGGTTCCTGAGGTCTGGAAAGTGTTACATATCATTATTCTAAACAGGGCTATGAGATAGAGCAAGCAATTATAGGCCATTTAACTTAACATCATTTACAGAAAAATATTAGGAAAAGTTTGCGGGGGGTGGGGAGGACAACTCGACAAGCATATGGTAATTTGATCAGAAACAGGCCACATGTTTTTACGGGAGGAAGGTGTTGTTTTAACTAGCTTGTTGGACTTCTTTGAAGTTATTGCTTTCTTAGTTCTAGGTTTTAACCTATGATTTTTCCCTGATATCTATAAAGATTAGGAATAAATATCAGATATCTAAGTAAATAAAACAAAAACCAATCACAACTGAGGAGATTAAAAATACAATGGGAAGAAAAAGAAAAATGAATGTTAAAGACAAACAGTGTAGCAAGGAAAAAAAGGAGTAAACATCAGCTAGTAGAGTTTAAGCCAAGATACTTTTCATGAAAAATACTTGATTTGGGTCTGTGAATGTGTCCCTTTATCCCATTTCCCAAGATGCTCTGCAGAAAAAAAAGGGACTTTTTGTTTGTTTGACTGAAAAAAATCTCTTTGCTTTTTTTTTCTTTTGTTTTGCTTTTTTAGTGGATTGACCATTTGATGTGGTTACAAATTTGGCACGTTAGGATGACTACTTCATTAATCCTTCCTTTGTGAATTTTTAAGTTAAAAATTCTCACATAAGAAGACGACATATTTGTGGTTATTTTATATATATTAATAGGTCAATAGTAGTTTTCTCATATTTACACAATATTTCTGTACTACTTACTGAGTAGCCCCTGAACTTTCAGAAACAGGATCAGAAAGGCTGAAAACCAATAAAAAAATGAGCATCTTAAAACGTGCTTAGTAATACTCACTAGAAGCTTCAAGTATGTTTCATTATCCATTTTTGGCTGGTTAGTCTGCACAAGTCACTAACAATGTCGTTCTGCTTCTCCAAAGATCCTGGACTCCAGGAACTGCTATCACGTCTTTTTTTTTTTTTTTTTTTTTTGAGATGGAATCTTGCTTTGACGCCCAGGCTGGAGTGCAGTGGTGTGATCTTGGCTCACTGCAAGCTCCACCTCCCGGGTTCCCACCATTCTCCTGCCTCAGCCTCCCCAGTAGCTGTGACTACAGGTGCCCGCCACCCTCCCTGGCTAATTATTATTATTAGTAGTAGTAGTAGTAGTATTTTTAGTAGAGATGGGGTTTCTCCATCTTAGCCAGGAAGGTCTCAATCTCCTGACCTTGTGATCTGCCCGCCTCGGCCTCCCAAAATGCTGGGATTACAGGTGTGAGCCACCGCGCCCGGCCAAACTGCTATCATTTCTACATTTGCAATCTCCACAAGGGTGGGGACTGTATCTGTTTTGTTCATCATTGTACTCCTAGGGTCTAGCACAGTGTTTGATAAATACTTAGTGCATGAATGAATGGTTAAGAACAACATCAATATTAGATATTTACTCTGTGCCAGACACTGTACTAATAAGTACTTTGCATAACTGACTCTGTTAATTCTCCAGTAATTCTTTGAAAGAAGTCCTATTATTAATCTTATTTTTAAAAATGAGGGAACAGAGGCACTGAGAAGTTAAGGAACTTGCCTATGGTCGCACAGCTAGTAATCAATAGGTTTCAAACTCAGGCAGTTTGGCCAACAGGCCCACATTTGAGCATAATTACCACTTTCTCTCTAAGAATGAACACACAATGCAATAAATCTGTGCATCAGTGTATGCATGTACAGAAAATTATACACAAGACAGGGGTCTTAAGTGGCACAGAACTCAAGTACTAATGTTATCATCAACAAATACCAGAATTCAGGAGTGATGGAAAATTTAAAGTCTAATTTCCAGGATCAGGCTCTCTGTGGTAACAAACCCCTGTAGGCAGAGTACCAAAAAATGTTGCTCAATTGAGCTTTAATTGGATGCTGGAGTCCTTAGTCCAGAACAAACACTTTGAAAACTTCACACTGGTACAGAAGCGATATTGAAGGTTTTGAGGCACTAAATCAATGAGGAAAAAGAAATTACCAGCACAGGTGGAACTACGCCCTCTATGGAACCACTGGTGGCCTCTTTCAAGCTAGTACCTGCCTTTGCTGAGCAAAGGGCCATTTTTGAGACCATTCTGAGTCTTATTCAAAACATAATATAAAGCTCTATTTCCCTTTAGTCTTGCTGTAGGATATCAGTGTTCTGAGACCTGATGTGTCCTATTTTTTTTTTTTCAAATTTTCTTTATGGCATTTTTTTTTTTTTTTTAGACGGAGTCTCGCTCTGTGGCCCAGGCTGGAGTGCAGTGGCACGACCTTGGCTCACTGAAAGCTCCGCCTCCCGGGTTCACGCCATTCTCCTGCCTCAGCCTCCTGAGTAGCTGGGACTACAGGCACCTGCCACCATACCCGGCTAATTTTTTGTATCTTTTTTAGTAGAGACGGGGTTTCACTGTGTTAGCCAGGATGGTCTCGATCTCCTGATCTTGTGATCCACCCGCCTCGGCCTCTTTATGGCAATTTTTTTTTCCTATCAGTCATTCCGAAATGATTCTAAGAAGACATAGTTATTGGTTTGAGTGTCCCTCTGTGCAGAAGATCTTGGGGGACAGATGACCTAAGCTGATCGGTGAAAGCACTTTTACAGACTATAAGAAGAATAAGAAGCCTTTGGCATGTGCAGGATGGACTGAGTCCCTGAGAAGGAAAGATTCAGTTTAGATGTGAGAGAATTCCACATGTATCCTAAGTTGAATGTAGACAAACCTCAAAGAAGCTTGGTGCTTTTCAGGACTCATACCAAATGGCTCTAGACCATTGGCTCTTGGGACCTCACACCTAACTAAAAGCTTATTTACAATATAGTCTCCAGTTCTGGTTACCTTTCAACTGGAAGAATATTCTCACCCCTGAGGCAATTCAACAGGAGGCTGTCAAGTTGATCCAAGTTTTAGGAAAACTTGTTGTTCTGAGGAATGAGGTTAAAAGTTTAGTCTCACCATACAGGAAAAGCTTACCCAGTGGAATATTAGGTTGAAGTGGAGTGAATGAAATTAATGCAGCCTAGAGGCTTAGAAAGATAAAACGTAGTTCAAGATTCAAAATTGGACAGTAAAGGGAAGCTCAGGAGAGAGCCAAATCGGTGGAAAAATAAAGCAAGCATATGAAATCAGACACCACTCTTATACTCAAAGAATGCTAGTGTCAACAGAGCTGCAGAACAGGTATGATGATAGCACTTGAATGAACAAAAGAAACGGGAGGGATGCGGCGTCGGTCACGGCAGGAAAGGGGGTCGATGCGGATTCAAGAACAGTCTTGTTAGTCTGAGGGTCCTTTTCCTGTTCAGTGAATTCTTTTGTTCTGTGTCCTTATCAATCCCACACCTTGTCTAAGTAGGAATGACAGACAAGCCATTCTTAATGACTTCCTAGCTTTTGAAACTATTTTGGTGTCAGAGAGGGAAAGAGCCACATTTAAGTTGTAAAAATTGAGGTTTCTGTTGGCTTAGTAAATTTCCTTCTCTGAGATGACCATTTTTGATTGTAGATACAGAAAAGCATTTGCATAAATATGTGATCTGTGCAATGTTCCAGAAAATTGACATCTCTGTCGCACCTCATCAGGCCAGAGAGTCAAATGGCAGCACAGCTCAGGGCTCCAGTCGGCAGTCCCTGCTATGTCAGCACAGCGTGGCTGGCATCTTCCTCCCTGAGGGCCAGTACACATCCTCTCCTAGGCACACCCACTCTCCATTAGCACCGGGAACAATGGTTCACTGTGTCAGAGCCCCGGCCACGCCCTGTGCCCGGACAATGCACGACTCCACAGCCCTACCTCTCCCAAGCACTGGTTACTTCCTTTCCTTTTTATTTCCTCCTGTGTGGTAGAGTGCATGAAATACAGTTTTTTCCTTCTGTCTGAAACAAGACATTTTAAAGAGTGGTAAATGATGACCGATTCACTTTCAGTCTCTCTTCACTGGGGTTTTCCTAACCTCTCCAAGGTTGAACAACAGATAGGAATTTGGTTCAGAACACAGGGAAAATGGTTTCAAAAAATTCAATTTTCACAGTTAATGTTCACTAGGTAACACATATGAACGTTTCTCTCTAGAGATGATGCTTTCTATTATCTTTAGGTATATTTCATATGTTGAGCTTTGCTTCCATAGTGAGGATGGACCTCATTAAAGCAATAACAGCAAGCTAGGCAGCTTTATAAGTTTAGGAAAGGAGGATGTTATGTTCTAACAACCATTTTGTAACACAGGAAGTTCTGTATTTAGAAATTCGCCCATCCATCTAGCAATCAGTCAGTATTTATTAAGTACCTACCTTGTTATAGTCTAGTGTAAGATTTTTTTTTTTTTGAGACGGAGTTTCACTCTTGTTGCCTAGGCTGGAGTGCAATGGCGCGCGATCTCGGCTCACTGCAACCTCCGCCTCCTGGGTTCAAGCGATTCTCCTGCCTCAGCCTCCCGAGTAGTGGGGATTACAGGCATGCGCTACCACACCCGGCTAATTTTGTATTTTTAGTAGAGATGGGGTTTCACATGTTGGTCAGGCTGGTCTTGAACTCCTGAGCTCAGGTGATCTGCATGCCTCTGCCTCCCAAAGGGCTGGGATTATAGGCATGAGCCACTGTGCCTGGCCTTAAGATATTTTTTAAAAGTCCCTATTCTCAAAGAGTTCACAATTTGGTAAAGAGAGAAAGACATGTAAACAAATGATTATGGTGGGTTATAGTAGGTACTATAATAGAATTATGTATAGCATATAATGTGGATACAAAGAAAGGAGTGGGAAGGAATTTCAGCAGTACTGATGTATCGGCCAGAAAAGGCTACATGGACAGGGTGGTCCCTGACCTGAGTCTTATAAAAAGCAGGGGAGACCATTTATGGTATAGTGTGCAAGTATGCACTTGTGTATGAGTACACAGACACAGACATAGACATAGCTGGAGAGGACCTAGATGTCCTGCAGGTCTGGGACAGCGTTGTTAAGTCAGGCATCCTGTAGGTTATCAGGGACCAGCCATTAGAATAGGAGACCAACATGAGGAGATCTGCGTGTGATGTGAGATTCCATTTCTGAAATCAATGATTTCTTTTGGTGGGTTTAACTCTTGTTTTCCTTTATAGAGCAATGAAGTTTGTGGTAAGAATGATAATCTCAAATTGAATTCACTGTGTTCTGATTTTGGAAATGCACGCTGAAGGATGCCAGGGAGCTGAACTGACAGCTCCAAAGGCTGGCACCAGGCATTCCATGAGCGCATTTGCCCAGCCAGCCAGCCAAATGTGGCCACGCACTGGGTGGCCAGAGAGTCCTTACCACTTCAGTTGGCCGGTAGTACTTGAGATCCACAGTCACGTGAACTTTGCCGGTCTCTTTACATCTGCCCACTTCATTTTCATTCTTTCCTTCCCACCTGTAAGGAAGATAAACACTGAATCAGCTCCTAATTGCTTGGGAACATTTGGCCATGCTGTAGCACCTTGGGATGCCCCAGCCCTCTCCCCGCAGGAGCGCTTAAGCTCATTAACCACAGCAGCACAGGCTGATGCTCCAGCTGATTATTAAAG